>NC_000010.11:105446125-105749155 GCF_000001405.40 Homo sapiens
AGGAAGTGGATGTTGAGTTAAAATACACATTGCATCCATATCATTTCAACTGAACCGTGTCTTTACAGCGTCATTTCACTACTCTATCAGATCTGTGGCTTCTTCCCCATTTTTACATTTGCACATGTAGCTCATTTATTTTAGGAGTTCTATAATATTCTTGTGTGTGCATATTTGAAAATGTATGGACTGGGATACACATCCACTCTCCTGTCAACATTTCCAATTTTAAAAATAATTACAAACAACAATGCTCTAAATATTTTCTTACAGGTTTCTTTGCATAAGTGTGAGAATTTTCACTGTTCTGTGTAATGTGGCCAGTAGTTCTCATGATGATGTACCCAGTGCAGTATACATTTTGCCGAAAAGTGATACCCTTGGTTCAATGCAGTGTTACATAGGATCCCAGGTCAGTGAATAAAACACACTGAAACTCCCATGTAGATGTACTAGATCAGTCCTGGACAGTAGCAGCCTATTCTTTTGGGTTCATGTATAGCCTCCACGTCCGCTATCATGCTGCTCTATGTATATATCCATTGTGCCAGCATTGAGGTGGACAGTGACAGAGGCTGGCTTATGTCATCATGCCAAGTCATTCTATACTTTGTTTAGTGTGTTTTTGTTTTTTGTTTTTTTTTTTTTAATTTTAGGTTCAGAGGGCACACATACAGGTTTGTTACATGGATATATTGCATGATGCTGAGGTTTGGGCGTCGACTGAACCCATCCTCCCAATAATGAACATAGTCCCAAATACATAGTTTTTCAACTCTTCCCCACCTCCCCTCTTTTGGAGTACTCAGTGTCTATTGCTCCTGTCTTTATGTTCACCTATACCCAGTATTTAGCTTCCACTTATAAGTGAGAATGTGTGGTACTTGCTGTAATGTTTTTGTACTAATTCACTTAGGATAATGGCCTCCATCTACATCCATGTTGCTGCAAAGAATGTGATTTTGTTCTTTTTATGGCTGCATGGTATTCCATGGTGTATACGTACCAAATTTTTTAATCCAATCCATTATCAATGGGCACTTAGGTTGATTCCATGTCTTTGCTATAGTGAATAGTGCTATTAACAAACATGTAAGTGCAGGTAGAACAATTTATTTTCCTTTGGGTATATACGCAGTAATGGAATTGCTGGGTCAAATAGTAATTCTACTTTTAGTTCTTTGAGAAATTTCCATACTGCTTTCCACAATGGCTGAACTAATTTCCAATCCCACCAACAATATATGAACATTCCCTTTTCTATGCAACCTTGCCAACATTTTCATTTATTATTATTATTTTTGAGATTGAGTCTTGCTCTGTTACCCAGGCTGAAGTGCAGTGGCATGATCTCTGCTCACTGGAGTCTCTGCCACCTGGGTTCAAGCAATTATCCTGCCTCAGCCTCCCAAGTAGCTGGGATTAGAGTCATGCACCACCACACTATCGTGCTGCTCTGTTTATATATCCATTGTGCCAGCACTGAGGTGGACAATGTTTGAATTTTTTAGTAGAAACGGGGTTACACCATGTTAACCAGGCTGGTCTCAAACTCCTGGCCTCAAGTGATCCATCCACCTTGGTGTCCCAAAGTGCTGGGATTACAGGCGTGAGTCACTGCACCCAGCATCTGTTATCTTTTGACTTTTTGATAATAGTCATTCTGACTGGTGTAAGATGGTATCTCATTATGGTTTTGATTTGCATTTCTCTGATGATCAGTGAGGTTGAACGTTTTTTCACTTGTTTGTTGGCTGCTTGTATGTCTTTTATTGAAAAGTATCTGTTCATGTCCTTTGCCCATTTTTGTTTTTTTGTTTGTTTTCTTATTGATTTGTTTGTTTCTTCTAGATTCTGGATATTAATCTTTGTCAGATGCATAGTTTGCAAGTATTTCTCCCATTCTGTGGGTTGTTGGTTTATTCTACTTACAGTTTCTTTTAATGCACAGAAGGTCTTAAGTTTAATTAAGTCCCAATTGTCAATTTTTGTTTTTGTTGCATTTGCTTTTGAAGACTTAGCCATAAATTCTTTGCTTAGGTCAATGTCCAGAAGAGTATTCCTTAGGTTTTCTTCTAGGATTTTTATAGTTTGAAGTTTTACATGTAAGTGTTTAATCCATCTTGACTTAATTTCTGTATACGGTGACAGTTATGGGTCCAGTTTCATTCTTCTGCATACGGTTAGCCAGTTTTGCCAGCACCATTTGTTGAATAGGGTGTCCCTTCCCCATTGTTAATTTTTGTTAATTTTGTTGAAGATCAGTTGGTTGTGTGTATGCTGCTTTATTTCTAGGTTCTTTATGCTGTTCCATTAGTCTATATGTTAATTTTTTGTAACAGTACAATGCTGTTTTGGCTACTGTAGCCTTGTAGTATAATTTGAACTCAGGTAATGTAGGAGTGCCTGTGGTTTTGTTCTTTTAGCCTGGGATTGCTTTGGCTATCTGGGCTATTTTTTAGTTACACATTAATTTTACAATAGTTTTTCTAATTCTGTGAAGCATGACATTAGTTATTTGATAGAAATTGTATTGAATCTATAGATAGTCTTGGGAAGTATAAACATTTTAACAATATTGATTCTTCATAAACATGAGCATGAAATGTCTTTCTAGGTTCAGTGCTTTTTAAATGGTGAATACTCTTGGTGGGCTTCAACATGTGATACAACATGGGTCCACCCCTGTAGATCTATCTACATTCTTCTTTACAAGTTTCCTTGCCTTTGCTATTCCAGTTTTTCTCTTTCCAGGACTCTGCTCAACCATCCAGGTCACTTGACATTGCCTATGTGTCCATGTACATTATTATTTCAGGTCACTTCTCATTCCATAATACTTGGATGATCAGGTGCAATACCCGGGGCTTTGCCCTGAGAAGAATTTGTTCCACTGCTCTCTTACAGGGCCACTCCTGAGTGGGGTTATGGTGCACATGCAGTACATTTCAGCTCTCACTGACACACTAAACTGACTTATCCATGAACACAGCCAAATATTTTTCCTTTCTCTGTTGATAATAAAGAATACTGGCATGGCCATAAGTGTGAGCTAATGGAGAGGCACCAGTGAAACAGTGGTTGAAAATATGGGGATCTGGGATGCTGCTTTCATAGCTTACTTATGCCCTCTGGCCCTTCTAGTGCTCCAGCGCAGGTATACCACTTCAATCCTACAATAGATTGCTGCTGGGACCACCTGACTTTATGCTTAATTGGTCTGAAATAACTCACTTATCATAGGCATCTCTGGCCATATGGTCACTTGATGTCTCATGCTTAAAGGTTCATTTTCTATCAGGGCCTAGTAGCATGTCTTGTGCTTTTCAAATGGTGTGTAGTTTTCTGCTGCAGATGGCATAGACTTGCCCCAGAGCCCTAGCAGTCTATGTTGTGATTCTTCTATTTGGACTCATCATAAATTCTACATGGAAACTTGTACCCCAATATATTAGGGTCTGCTTGTTAACACAGCCCAAGTGACAGAATAGTTTGTATAGCAGCCTGGACCAATTGTAGCGCTATTTCTGTCAGCCTTATTCAAGCTGGAAAATGATCATAGTACCAGGTAAATTGGTCAAAATAGTATTTCCAAGTGTGGAATATGCTGCCTTCAGAACATGAAGAGGCCTATCAATCATTTTGCTAGTTTCTGATTGGTGGGAGGTATAATCTATTTCTTACCATGAAGGGAATGACCTCACATGCCCTAGACTACTAAATCCCTCAAAACTTTACTGATGTCACCATTTTGGAGCATGTATGTCTGACTATAGCCTCCAATTTGCCACATCTTGCCACTCCTTCAGTCTTATTAGAGTAATGCCTCTGATATGGTGTATCAGTGTGATGTTCTGCAGGATGTGCAGATGATCCGAGTACGCTTGGACATGTTATGACAAAGGGTGTGAGTGTTAATATAATCCTAGGAAAGACCATAAGTGTTTATTGTCTTTACCACATAAAGGTGGCCTGCTTCTGATTCTCCTTCCTGATGGTGATGAGACATAAACATTCATTGGTTCAGCGCCCACATCCTACAAGCAGGAGGTGATGTAACTCTGCAGTTGATACTACTACCTGGTTAATTTTACAGTAACCTACTTTCACATACTATGATCCATATTGTTCTTAGAGACTAGAGTGGTAAATTAAATAAAGATATAACAAAGGCTAACTTCCTTCATTGTCTTTTCTTGTTAATTTTATTTCAATTTTAAAAACGTAGTTTTTAATTGACACATAGAAATTATATACATTTATCACATGCAACATCTTTTGAAATTTGTGTACATTGTGAAATGGCACATTCATTTTCTCACATAATTTTCATTTTTGTGACTATACTCAAAATCTATTCTCTTAACAATTTTCAGTAGCATAATGTCTTCTTATTAACTATACCCATCATGTTTTACAATAGATTTTTTAAACTTATTTCTCCTATCCAACAGAAATTATGTATCCTTTGACCAACATCTCCCCTCAACCACCTCCTTCTCTGGTAACCACCATTCTATTCTACTTCTGTGGGATGAGCTTTGTTAAATTCCAGATATGAAAACAAATATCCCAATCCCATATCCCAGATATGATGAGATCATGTGGTATTTGTCATTCTGTGCCTTGCTTATTTCACTTAACATAATGTCCTCCAAGTTCATTCATGTTGCTGCAAATGACGTGATTTCATTATTTTTATGGTTGAATTGTATTCCATTGTGTATATAGATCACATTTCTTAGCCCATTCATCTATCAATGAACACTTAGGTTGATCCCATATTTTGGTTATTGTGTATAGTGCTACAATAAACATGGGAGTGCAGAAATCTCTTTGACATACTGATTTCCTTTAGATATATACCCACTAGTGGGATTCCTAGGGCATACTGCAGTTCTATTTTTAATTTTTTGAGAATCCTCCATACTGTTTTAAATAATGGCTGTACTGGTTTACATTCCTACCAACAATGTGCAAACGTTTCCTCTTCTCCACATCCTTTCTACCACTTTCCTTTTGTCTTTTAGGTAATAGCCATTCTAACAGATATGAGACCATATCTCATTGTGGTTTGAATTCACATGTCTTTGATGATTAATGTTGAGCATTTTTTTCACATACATCTTGGTCATTTGTATGTTTTCTTTTAAGAAATGTCTATTCAAATCCTTTGGCCATTTTCTGGTTGGGTTATTTGTTTTCTTACTATTGAGTTATGCGAGTTTCTTATATATTTTCAATATTAATCTATTATCAGATGTGTGGCTTACAGATTATTTTCTTCCATTCTTTAGGTTGTCTCTTCTCTCTGTCGACTATATTCTTGGCTGTGCAGAAGCTTTTTAGTTTTGTGTAATTCCAATTGTCTATTTTTGCTTTTGTTTTCTGTGCTTTGGGGTTCATATAAAAAAATCATTGCCCACATCAATGTCATGGAGCTTTTCCTTTATGTTTTCTTCTACCAGTTTTACAGTTTCAGGTCTTACATTTAAGTCTGAATTCATTTTTATTTGGCTTTTTTGTATAGTATAAGATAAGGGTTTAACTTCATTCTTCTGCATGTGAATATCCAGTTACCTCAATATTACTTATTGAAGAAAGTGTACTTTCCCCATTGTGTTTTCTTAGTACCTTTGTAAAATTGACCATAAAATGGGTGGATTTATTATTGGGCTATCTCTTCTGTTCCATTATTCTGTCTCTTTTTATTCCAGCATCATGCTATTTTTGATTACTATAGATTTGTAGTATATTTTTAAGTCAGGCAGTGTGATGCCTCCGGCTTTGTTCCTTGTGCTCAAAATTTCTTTGGCTGTTTGAGGTCTTTTGTGGTACCATGCAAATTTTAGAATTTTTTTCTATTTCTGTAAAAAAAATAGTCATAATTTTGAAAAGGATTGCATTGAATCAGTAGATCACTTTGGATATTATGGAAATTTTAACTAGATTAATTTTAACAATATTTCTAATCCATGAACATGGGATATCTTTTTATTCATTTGTGTCTTATTCAATTTTTTTCACCATTATTTTCTAGTTTTTAATGTACAGGTCTTCCATCGCCTTGGTTAAATTTATTCCTAAGTATTTTATATTTTTGTAGCCATTGTAAGTTTGATTTCTTTTTCAGATAGTTTGTTTTCAGTGTATTGGAATGCTATTGATTTTTGTATGTTTATTTGTATCCTGAAACTTTACTGGGCTAGTTTATTAGTTCTAAGAATTTTTTGGTGGAGTCTTTAGGGTTTTTTCTATATAAGATCGTGTCATCTGCAAACGGGGACAACTTAATGTCTTCCTTTCCAGTTTGAATGCCTTTTATCTCTCTATCTTACCTAATTGCTCTGGTTGGGACCTTTTCTGTATCTTTGAGGGTGGCACTATGTATCTCATTTCACCTAGGATGCAGTATTATTTTTTGTTATCTTTTTGGGTAGGAGGGGTTTGATTTTAAAGATATTCATTTAGTCTAACTTACTATAATAGTTCTTTACCTAGGTCAAAGAACCATTACTGATATGTTCCTTTGTCTGTTTTGTGCTACTGGAGTAAAATACCTGAGACTGGGTTATTTATAAAGAACAGAAATGTATTGGCTTACAGTTCTGGAGTCTAGGAAGTCTAAGGTCAAGGCACTAGCAGGTCTGGTGTCTGGTGAGGCTATTCTCTTCATCCAAGTTTGGACCTTGCATGCTGCATCCTTTAAAGGGGGATGTCTGGGTGCTCACATGGTAAGAGGTAGAACGGGCCAAGAGAAAGTGAGAGAGAACAAGAGGAGGAGAATCCACTCTTGTACTAATGGCATTAGTCCACTCCTGAAGGCAGAGCCCTCATGACCAAACACCTCTTAACAGTCCCACTTTCCAATGCCATCAGAATGACAATTAAATTTTAACATGAGTTTTAGAGGGAACAAACATTCAAACCATAGCAAATGCTGGCAACTACACATATGTCCATTCCAAACATACATCTCAGAACTGGGAAAACGACCACCAAATTTTTCTGTAAACCTACTGGAGCCACTTTGACTAAGACCGAGGCCAGAATTTCATTTATTATCTGGCTCCTATATGTCCCCCTCTAAGCCACATCAATGACAATTCAGACCATGTGTCCAGCAATCCATGTGTCTGATGCTCATAATCCTGAATATTTCCCTTCCTCCAATGCATGTTCACCTGAGTAAATGAGCACAGATCTTTTTGGAAAGTTACTTCTGAATTTCCTTGCAACAGTGTTTATAGTCCTTCTTCAATGTGTTCTCAGTATGAAAAATATCTCAAATCTTGAAACTAGTCAAATAATTTTTTTAGATTGGTGTAGCTACCACCAGCCTTTAGCCCATCCATCCTTGATTTCTTTTAATCATATAAATTAAGCAATGTCCATGTTAAATACTCATCTATTTTCCCTCTAGAGATGTCATGCTCTATTAAATGTCTCCATAGCTCTTTCTAACTTGGGCCTCTGTGACTGCCACTCTGGTCTTGCTCATCCTTGTGTTAGTTGTGTCTACTTGCTTTGGATGGCTAGGTATAGCCACTTGGCCTCTATTATTTTGGGACTTTGTCATGCTCATTATTATCGGAGAACTAATTTCTGTACCAGAATTTTCCACTCTTACCTCTGTCCTACAGAGTAGAGAGCTACCACTGAGATTCTCAATGATGTTGATGTATTTGCCATCAGCACATTCTTTGTCATGTTGGCAAATGAAGTATCTTTGGAACTTTCCTACAGAACACAATTGGCTGGTGGTTTTTCAAGCATTTTGTTGTATATTCACTCTATAATTATCACTTGTCTGAGTGATGGCTTGTAAGGCAACTGCTCAAATAAAGCCTCTTTATGATCTTCAAGGAGGGTTGGGCTACTCTTTTCTAACAAAGGAAAGAGAAACACTTCAGCAAACTGTGCAGGTTGAGAGGAACCTAATACACTTTCAACTTCATCTTCTATCTCTATTAGGGCCTTAACATTGGTAAAGAAGACTTGTCAGGACTGAGAATTGAACCTTGTCTGAAACTCCATTGCTCTTATGATTAAGTTATTGCTTTGTTCCTGATCTTAGAAGGCAAGTATTCAGTCTTTGAATATTAAGTGTAATGTTAGCTGTAGGCTTTTTGTAGATTCTCTTCATTAAGGTTGAGGAAGATCTCTTTTATTCCTAGCTTTTCTTGTAGTTTTATCAAAATGAATGTGGGATTTTGTCAAACACTATTTCTAAATCTATTGAGGTAGTCATATGGTGTTTCTTTTTCATTTTTGTGATAGAGGTAAATTGCATTAATTTATTTTTGAATGTTAAATCATTCTTCCCTTCCCAGGATAACCACCCCCAACACTGCCGACCCTTTGTTATGTATTATCATTTTTGTATATTGTTGGATTTGATTTGCTAAATTTTTAAAGAGAATTGTTTAGTCTAAGTTCATGAGGGTTATTGATACATATATTTCTTGTAATATCTTTCATTGTGGTATCTGAGTAATGCTGATTATGGGCCTCATTATATGAGTAATGGCTTTATTATATTAGTTGAGAAGTGTTCTATCCTTTTCAACTTAGGGAAAAATTTTATATAGAGTAATATTGTTTATCCTTAAATACTTGGTGTAATTCACCAGTGATACCATCTATGTCTGGAGTTTTATTGTGGAAAAGAATTTAACTACTCATTGAATGTACTATATATATATATATATATATATATATATACACACACACACACACACACACACACACACACACACATATATACATACATACATACATATATATATGGAACTATGAGTTTATCTTTTTCTTCATGAGCAAGCTCGGTGGTTTATGTCTTTCAATGAATTTGTCCATTACATCTAAGTTATCAAATATATTGACATAACATTTCTCATATTTTTATTAATCTTTTAATGCCTTAAGAATTTTTAGTAATATCTTCCCTCTCATCTTGATGTTGATCATAGTAATTTATATATGTGTTATTTCTCTCTCTTGTTCCTCATTGGTCTGACTAGAGTCAGACTAATACTAAATTGTATTGATTTTCTCAAATAACTCATTTATGGAGGTTTAAGAAAAGAAGGCATCTCCATAACATTAAAATGCCAAGTGAAGCAGCAAGTGCTGATGGAGAAACTGTAGCAAGTTATCTAGAAGATCCAGCTAAGATCTTCAATGAAGGTGGCTACACTAAACAACACATTTTCAATGTAGACCAAACAGCCTTATATTATATGAAAATGCCATGTAGAACCCTCACAGCTAGAGAGGAGAAGTTAAAGCCTGGCTTCAAAGCTTCAAAGGACAGGCTGAGCCTCTTGTTAGGGTCTATTGTAGCTGGTGATTTCAAGTTGGGGCCCAATGTACACATACTATTCCAAAAATCCAAGAGCCCTTAAAAATTATGCTAAATCTGCTCTGCCTATGCTTTTGTAAATGGAAGAATAAAGCCTGGATGACAGCACATCTGTATGAAGCATGATTTATAAAATATTTTAAGCCTACTGTTGAGACCTACTGCTCAGAAAAAAAAGAGATTTCTTTTAAAATCTTATTGCATATTGCAGTGCACCTAGTCAACCCAAGAGCTCTGATGGAGATGTATAAGAAAATGAATATTATTTTCATACCTGCTAAAATAATAGCCATTCTGAGGTCTACTGGTCAAGGAGTAATTTCAACCTTCAAGTCTTACTATTTTTACAAAAACATTTCATAATGCTATAGCTGCCATAGGCAGTGATTCCTCTAATAGATCTGGGGAAAATACATTTAAAACCCACTGGAAAGAATTCATCATTCTAGATGCTGTTAACAACATTCATGGGAGGAGGTCAAAATATCAACATGAACAGAAGTTTAGAAGAAGTTGATTCCAACCTTTATAGATGACTTGTTGATTCAAGACTTCAGTAGAGGAAGTCACTGCAGATGTGGTGGAAATGGTAAGAGAACTAGAATTAGAAGTAGAGCCTGAAAATGTGATTAAGTTGCTGCAATCTTATAATAAAACTTGAATAATTGCGCAGTTGCTTCTTATGGACGAGCAAAGATAGTGTTTTCTTGAAATGGAATCCACTCTTGGTGAAGATGCTTTGAACATTGTTGAAATGACAAAAATTTAGAATATTAGATAAAAATCATTGAAAAAGCAGCATCAAGATTTGATAGAATTGACTCCAATTTTGAAAGAAGTTCTACTATTGGTAAAATACTGTCAAACAGCATCAGGTGTTACAGAGAAATCTTTTACAAAAGGTAGAATAAATTGATGCAGCAAACTTCATTGTTGCCTTATCTTAAGAAATTGCCACAGTAACCACTTCCCTGATAAGTCAGCAGCCATCAACATCAAGGCAAGACCTTCCACTAGCAAAAAGATTACAACCTGCAGAAGGCTCAGATAATTGTTACCATTTTTAAGCAATAAAGTATTTTTAATTAAGGTATATATGTGATTTTTCTAGCTATGATGCTATTGCACACTTAATAGACTATACCATAGTGTAAACATAACCTTTAAGTGCACTGAGAAACAAAAAAAAATTGTGACTCACTTTATTTCAATATTCACTTTTTGTGGGAGTCTGGAACCAAGCCTGCAATATCTCTAAGGTATGCCTGTATTTATGTTCTCTTCTTCCAAGCTAAGCTGTTTTTATCATTAGATGTGCTGTGTCACCTAACATTTATGGGATTTACTATACCATGATATCTGCATGTATCTAAAGAAGAGAGAAAGGGTAAAGAAACAGATGGTAACATACATTATTACTGATCAGGAATGCCTGGTTCAGAGATGTGAAAAAGAGCTCATAAACATCAAGCAATGTAAAAATGGAACAAAGTGTCAGAGAAAAAAAACATGTTTATTCATTCATTTATTTGTTCAAGAGAATCTTCTTAAATGCCTGCAAAATATAACCCCTTGGTGAAGGAAGGGCTGTGGAAAAATGCTTTTACATCAATGTCTGTGATACCGAGGAATTTATAAAGTTGCAATTGTTGATATTTATTTGCCAAAATACATCATATTTAGAAGAGTAAAATGATAGAGTTTTGGTGGAAATAGAAAGTCAGTTTGAAAAAAATAACTATAATTTTCATAATTATAAAACAGTTTGGTAATATATATGTATACATATTTAAAGAAAAACCAAGGTGCAATATAATTTGAATACCAAAATATCCATCTGTGTTTTTCTTCAACAAATTAATTATTGTAAACTGATTTACAAATCCTATGTGCCACATGAATACTAAACAATTAAATTCAAAAGTGGAAGTAATAATATAAGCCAGTATTATGGGGATTATATAACTTCAGATATTTACATATGTTTGAAGAAAAAAAATTTAAAGTGTCAAAACGATAACCAGTGGGAAGTTTCTAAATATTCCTTTGATCTAAAAACAAGAGAGTTTGGGTGTTATATTTTTTTAAAAAATCATTTTCTTTTGTTGGTTTCAAATATCCTGGGAACTTAGGCAATATTTTTTCTGCCCCAAATGGTCCCACCAGAATAACTTAAAAATACATGTATATGATTGTTCCTGACCAGGCAAATCTAAGCCAATTTAAAATTACCTTCACAAATACTTGCACCTGCAAATAATTCTATGGTAACAACTAAACTAGCCTTGTTAATTGGACCGTTAATCACAGAGGGAGCAGATTTTCCACTGCCAGAAGGGTCATCTGTGCTTCTAATTGTTTCCCTGCTGAAAGTAACCTGAAACAATTCCTAGGAGTCCCTAAGCTTAGTTTGAATAAATTGATCAGATTGTGTCCCTCTATGATAGGCATGTCAACTCCTAAAACTATGCCTTGCATAAAATAGGCACTTGATGTGTATTTGCTAATGCACTAGTTTACTGATGCAAACATTAGGAGAGATCTGAGTTCTATTAGTATGGCAGGCATTGAAAGGGCAGGAGGAAATACAACAGAAGTTTTACTCTCTACCTGTATGCCACAGATGAAGTTTGCTTAGAATATCACTTGTGATTTCACTTTAAAATTGCTTTCCACAATAGTAAGCCAAAGAGTCTAAAAATGTCTCCAATTTCCACTGACTTCTGTGTGTTTAAACTTGTGTCATTAAAAATAATAATTTAGAGCTTTATGAACCCCTCATATGGTTGCTCCTCTTTACAGATAAGGAAACTGTGACCCAGAATTGGTGACTTCACAAAGATTGTATAGATGTCAGATTAGCTATGCTGTTATTTCCACTTCACCTGTAAATACACTCTCAGTTGGAGTTTTTGACATAAGGGAGAAGACCGATGGCTTTATCCCAGCCTAAAATGTTAATGTTCCCAACAGAATAAAAGTATAGATTCCCAAAGCATGAAATGACCTTAAAATTGTCCTAGTTAACCCTTCTCCCTTTTTCACAGATGAGGAATCTGAGGACCAGAAAAGAAGAGCAGTTTCCCAGGATATATAGTAATTTATGCTTATAATAATGCTATTATCAATGAGAAGCGAAATTATATTTCATTTACATTTTTTACTAAGGTAGGAAAATGTTAATACATCTTAAATTAACTTTGCTACTGGTCAGCTATAAACTTAAAGGTTTTTATTTTTCTATTATGTAAAAAATTTAATTATTCACATTACCCTGAGACAATTGCAATAAATGATAGATTACTGACCTAATCACAGTGGAAGTAACTGAACACATAAAATTGTTTATCTCAAGGGGTCTGCAGCTCAGTATTTTAAGAGAGAACATTAAAGAGCTGAATTTTTCATTTTTATCATGAAAAAATAATCAACTATTGTAAACTTCAGACACATTTCTTCCTCTGTAGATATCAACATGTTTTCCCTGAGATCTTTCAAATAACAATAACAAAATTAGCTCATGACTCAATACTGTCCTTTTTTTTTCAGCCTTATGTCAATTTCTAGATAAAAATGTTAACTGAAAGAGACAGACTTAAATATTTCTCTGGTCATCTCCCTTAGGGAGATCTGCAGTCTTTGTGCAGGATCATAAAAGAATGATTCATTTCAAGTTTCTAATAATTATTTCTTTGTAGTCATCATTTTTCTTCACTGTGATGGCAGGAGTGATTTTTTAAACCTGGTAATGCAATGAAGGACTGCAGGTAAACACTTAATTTGCTGACAAAGCAGGGAAACTATTCAAAGACAAAAAAAATTACCATTTATGGATAAATCTTAGTTTGTTTTTTTAAGCGTAAGTGCTACTACCTTTTGGTAATAAGAAGAGAAAAAAGAAAGTTGAACATGGAGAGCCCTAAAAATTATTTCTCCTATGATAAAAGGAAGAAGAAAAAGGGAAGTGTGAGTGCATGTGTTTGTGTGTATGTGTGTGGGTGCACTTCTCTATAATCTTGTACAATTCAATTTCAACTTTATAACAGCAATTGGAGTAGAAAGGAGTGTGTTCATTCAATAAGACATTTCTAATGGAAAAGTTTTGTGATAGCCCATTAGAGTGATCTAGAAGTATGGAAACTTAATCTTCAGCAGGATAGGGAAAAAGGGAGAATTTGGTGGCAGCTGCTTGCCATTGGGCCAGTGGTGAAACAGGCAGTGCAGTTGATTCATATAGCTGAGGTAGCATATTGGGTCATGGACATTGATGGCTTAATGGGAACTCATTCTCAGGGTGGGTGGTGATTTTGCTGAAGCCAAGATGTTCCTAGCAGAAGGGATAAGGTCAAGTAGGAACAGTTCTGATTCTGGGAGAACAGGATGGATGGGTCACAACTTGTGCTGCAACCCCAGTTTAATCTGCAACTGCCTTTGGCATCTTTAATGTCAGGAAAACAACATTCAGGAGAAAGAAATCTACTATTCTACTGTTTTCTATGGAATGTAAGACACTGTCAGTTGCCAGATAAGCTGTTTAAAAAAATGCACACTTAAGAAAGAAGTAATAATGCCAATTAAAATTTAAAACAATATATCATTTTCATTTAGATTGATACTTTAATACTTGTTGAAGTGGATCTTTTAAATTTATATAGACATTGATTGCTATCTTATATCAGTCTTGTGTATATGTAATAAAATAAAATAAAATAAATAGGTTTAAGATGTCCTAAACTTCTTCACATCCAGAATTTTATTCTTTTGAATCACTCTGACTCAGAGTCATCACTAGCTATATATTTTATTTTAATATAATCCTTCGTGCCATTAAATGTGTTAACAATGTTGATGATGTAGCGTTTCTTAACAGAGCTCCACCATTATCTCCCAGATTTCTTCTGTGCTGCTAATGCTCACTCAGGAAATTCTGGTCCTTGTGTATTACCAGAAAGTGACAATGAAAGGTTTTCAGAAGACACTCGGTTATTGGAAGGACAACAACAATATATTCCTTTTTCTTTTTTTTTAAATTTTATTATTATTATATTTTAAGTTTTAGGGTACATGTGCACAATGTGCAGGGTTGTTACATATGCATACATGTGCCATGTTGGTGTGCTGCACCCATTAACTCGTCATTTAGCATTAGGTATATCTCCCAATGCTATCCCTCCCCCCTCCCCCCACCCCACAACAGTTCCCAGTGTGTGATGTTCCCCTTCCTGTGTCCATGTGTTCTCATTGTTCAATTACCAGAAAGTGACAATGAAAGGTTTTCAGAAGACACTTGGTTATTGGAAGGAGAACAATAATATATTCCTTTTTCAAGTGATTCTTAAATGATTTCTGGAATTAAGTGTCAAGGGGTTGCAGTTGTCTGTCTAATCATGCCACCAGGAATCACGACCAAGTTTGTGCATGCCCGGGCAATGACAACCACCACATTGTAACCTTCCCAGCTTACAGAAATTATAATATTTCAACATAATTACTGAGACTTAAGTATGGACAAATGACCATCTCCAAATTGGTGAAACATACTGAATTACCTCAGGCATCAAGTCATCCATCTTCTATTCTTCCGTAAGAGAAAAGTAAACATAATAAAACCCAAACACTGTCCTCTCCATCTTCCCCCACCTGCAGCCTTGGCTCCTGCTAAGACTAACATGTTTTCCTTCCTTTTTCTTTTGAATTCAGGGAAGAGCTCTTAGTGTTATTTTTGAATGACTCCACATTAAACTTTTCATTTGAATCCAATTTTATGAACTACATCAAGGGTTTTACTCTAAATGTTCAATCATCTCAGGGTCAGCGCAGTTTCCAGGGAAGCCCCAATCATGTAAACAGTGTGAAGTGTTGTCACCTGCAGTTCACCAGAGTTGAGGTTCTGGGCAATTCTAGTGAAATTGGCGTGACTTTTTTTCTTTGCATGCTTACCAGGCAATATCCTCCTTTATTCTCCCTTCCACCAAAAAGGAAAAAGAAAAACATTACAGAAACTTTCTCCAAACCAGAGTTTTTACTCCGTTATTATCCAAATGGATTCTCAGCTGGCACCGGAATGGGAGCTTCTGGAACTCCCTGACTCGTTTTGGGAAGCTGTTGATTGGCCCACAGTGGGTTCCTGAGCAGGGATCTGGAATAGACAAAGAGATGAGAGAATAGAAAATATTGGCTGTCTGTGTGTACTCTGTGCATACACTGCATATGGAATATTAGTTAAAGAATGTCTGTCCTGTTTTAATTATATATATTTCAAAAGGATCCTTCCTTTCTGATTTCCTGTTTCAGTCATTTAAACACTATTTTTGGCATCCTGCACACTCTGCTTTACTTTTGTTATTTATAAAATATGGGAGAAGGGAGTAGGTAACACCATTCTGTGCAAATAATAGTAAATATTCTGTTCACTGAATCTTTGAGTGATACATTGATAAACTATTACATTACTCTTCAGTCATTGGCAAATGATTCTTGGATTTCCACCAGTTACAATGTTTTTTTAGAAAATACAGTGCTAAGCACAACATTCAATTTTACATACATTTAGGATAAAAAATAAATGGCCATGGGAGAAGGAGCCTGAGACATGAAAAGGAACATGCTTTTGGGGGATAAATTCCATTCATCCTCATTGACACTATTGTTATTTTTTAATTTCTTTTAATTTAATTTTAAGTTCTGGGATACATGTGCAGGACATGCAGGTTTGTTACATAGGTAAATGTGTGCCATGGTGGTTTGCTGTAGCTATCAACCCATCGCCTAGGTGTTAAGCCCCACATGCATTAGCTATTTATCCTGATGCTCTCCCTCTCCCAAACCTCTGCCACCGACAGGCCCCAGTGTGTGTTGTTCTCCTCCCTGTGTCCCTGTGTTCTCATTGTTCAACTCCCTCTTATAAGTGAGAACATGTGGTATTTGGTTTTCTGTTCCTGTGTTAGTTTGCTGAGGATAATGGCTTCCAGCTCCATTCATGTCCCTGAATTGCAGCACTATTCACAATAGCAAAGACATGGACTCAACCCAAATGCCCATCAATGATAGACTGGAAAAGAAAATGTGGTACGTTATACACCATGGAATACTATGCAGCCATAAAAAAGGACACTATTGTTTTTTGTCCCACGAAGCTGCTTACTGCTTTGGCAAACTGGCCACATTTTCTGTGTATGGCTACCACACCATCCTAAAGGTCTTTTTACAACTTTCACTTCTAACTTGATTCCTCCATGTGGCTTAATCTTTTCAAAAGTACCATGTACCTTTCTAATTACTGTTCTTCAATAACACCACTGCCCACAATTCAGCTTTACCTGTATGTCTCCATGCCCTACTTTGACTCTTTGATCCCTTTCAGATAGAGGCCTCTTCTTTGCTCACCATCTACAACCCACCAGCAATAAAGTGCTATGGGGTAGAAAAGAATTCAGAAGGAACCTTCCTGTTCTCAATAGCTTAAAATATACGATGTAAGTATATAATACATAGTCAGACAAAACAGAATAAATGAGTTTATGCCAAGCCATCATTCCTGAATATGCATCACCGAGCTCTATATAGTACCAAGAGATGCTGTATTTCAAAAGTTTCATGGTCAAATGCATTTTGGAAATGCTATATTATTATATTCCACTTTTATGAGATTCAGAGTGTACATCAGTATATTAAAAGACCTGAGAAACTCTGTCTTACAAACACCAATTTAACGTGCTGAGTGCCAATATTGTCCCAGATTATCTGACTTGACTATTTCTTTGCTATTGCTAGTCATGGGGCATTGTACCAGCCTTTCCTGAATTCCATAAATCCATCCCACTACCTGTAAAAGTCCCTGTTAGATTCTGTTCAATCACCCTTTTAGCCTATCATTTGTTTCCTGCCCATCCTGTACACTTTGGGACCATTCTCCCATGGCACCAACAACCATAAAGACTCATGCTTCTTTCCCATGCTGGTCTCCAAGGCTGGAAAGGCATTTTATCCATTTTCTAGCTGTAGACATCATGTTAACTATTCAGGGCCCATCCCAATTGTTCTTCTTTTTCCTTTCAGTTTTTCTACTTCCAAAAATCAGAAGTATTCCTTATTCTGGGTTCCCATTTATATTAATCAAACTATTCTCATGCTTTGTCCCACTGGCCCTATCCTCTACACCAGTGGTCCCCAACCCCTGGGCCATGGACTGGTACTGATCCATGCCCTGTTAGGATCTGGACCGCACAGCAGGAGGTGAGTGGCAGGCAAGCAAGTGAAGCTTCATCTGCATTTACAGCTGCTCTCCATCACTCACATTACTGCCTGAGCTCCACCTCCTGTCAGATCAGTGACAGCATTAGATTCTCATAAGAGTTCAAACTCTATTGTGAACTGTGGATACGAAGGATCTAGACTGCATGCTCCTTATGAGAATCTAATGCCTGATGATCTGTCACTCTTTCCCATCACCCCCAGATGGGACTGTTTAATTGCAAGAAAACAAGCTCAGGGCTCCCACTGATTCTACATTATGGTGAGTTGTATAATTATTTCATTATATAAAATGTAATAATAATAGAAATAAAGTGCACAAAAAATGTAATGCACTTGAATCATCCCCAAACTATCCTCCCCACCCCTAGTCCATGGAAAAAAATGTCTTCCACGAAACTGGTCCCTAGTATCAAAAGGGTTGGCAACCACTGCGCCACACCATTGAACACGATGTATTTTAGTTAGCAAGTTCTCTTTATGGGTTTTTTGAATTGAATTTAAGGTGAGGCATTGCATGTAGCTGATAAAAGAAAATAAAAGATTAGTTGTATCTTTTGGGATTTAACAACATTCTCCAATCCCCACTGCATGGTTCATGTTTCTAGTAAAGTGTTTGATCAAAAGTAAAAATCCAAACTGTCACTTAAGCACTTTAGAAAGAGCAAATATATTATTCCTCTTCACTATATTGTTATTAGAGCAAGATCACTACAGGCCAACAAGAGATGGGTCTCAGGAAACTATCAGAGCTCCACTATATAAACATAGCATGCTTTGGATAACTAATCCTCCATCATTCCAGAGTAGTCCTTTCCAGTCCATCTGATGATGTTGAGTATATTCAGATCCTTTCTTCTCCAAGTAGGGTGTGGATCATCACATAGGACTAGACACTCAGATTACTCATCCATAGCAGTCACATTGATGGTTTAGGAATCATTTTGTTACTCATACGGGCCTATAAGAATCCTATGAAATACACTGCAAAACAATTGAGAGAGACAACCTTTTGCTTTAGGATTTGTAAGCTATCAAGTTGATAGCCTTCATTTTAGTTAAGATAGAATATGTTTTTGTTATAATAACAAAATCCCCAAATCACTAGAGATTAACATCTCAAGATTTATTTCTGTATTTCTCTCTTACACAAAGTTCACCGTAGTTCTAAGAGGTTCACCACATGGTGACTTATGTGTCCAGCCTGATTAAAATTATCATCAAGGACCTGTACCACTGGGGGCACATGGCCTCTTTTGTCAATATTGCAGGTAGAACAATTCTGGGTCAATGTTGTAGATAAAATAATATTGGGCATGGGGGACTTCAAGCATGAACTTTTCACTGCATCAGCCTGAGAGTGACATGGGTCACTTCCTTCTGCAGTGCACTGTCTAGAACTAATGACACAGCCCACTGAACTGCAAGTAAAAGGAAGGTGTGTATTACTGTCTCTGTCACAGCTCCTGACTTTTCACAATCATCCCATATCCGTGTGGAAATAGCCTAACAATGAAGCCAAGTAGCAGCTAGTAAAGTCAAGAGTTGTTGATGAAAATTTCTGATGGAAAGAGTCAAGCCCAGGCCCAGCTATACAGAAACTATGCCACAGGGCTCCCACAGGCATCCAAAAAAGCAGAAAAAAATGCTTATGTATTTGTATGTGTGTGTTTGTGTGTGTGCATGTGTATGTATGTCATACACACCAAGCCTAAGAAATAAATGTGCACCCTAATGCATATGAGGTATGAAAAAAAAAAAAGAAATTTGGACCCAGAAATTCAAATTTAAAAACTGTCACAGAATTATTGCTGCTGTTGTAGAAACATCTCTACAAGTAGCTTTCTGTTCTCTGCTCCATGGTTAAATAAGCAAGCTAGGCAGAAGGAGAAGTAGACTTTTATAGCTAATTAGAAATTAGGAAAGCAATGCCAGATATACCATTTATTTAAGCTTACAAATCTTCAAGGAGGACAATTGGCTGTGGCTTATTGAGACATATGACAAACCACCAAAAGGAGTTATAGGTGACAAGCTGCTCTCTAACTTTGAAATCACCTTATAGAATGTTTAATTGCCTTTAGGGTAAATTATAAAAGGAATTTCTAATGTTTAAGTTCTAATAATAACAATAGTTGGCCTTCACTGAGTGCCTACTATATGTCTCAGACATGGTACTAAGTGCTTTGCTTAAGTTATCTCTGTTAAATCTTACAACAACCCAGTAAGCTTGCTAATAATATTATTGTACTATACAAATCAGAATATGGAGGCATAGAGAAGGTAAATAATTTGGAAAAGACCGATGAGGAATTATGAATTGACTGATATAAATTAAGTATTTGAATGTAAAAGTAAATTATACCTAAGTGTTTGTATTTTTAAAGTCTTGGTTGTTTATCATGTGTTACAAATGGCATCTGGTACAATAACTTTTGAAAAAAGTCATGTACTATGTTTGCATTTTTAAACAAAGCATTCTATTTTTGAAATAAGAAAAGCCCTGAAGGAAACTGCTTCTTTATTCCTCAGATCTTTCTAGAGCTGAAGCCTCATAATGTATTGTAATGATGAGCAAAATACCAAGAAAAGAAGTAAATAGTGTTGCCTGCTAATGTTGACAAATCTAAATAGAAGATGATAGGGCCCCATGAGTATTAAAGCTCACTTTGGTAGAATTTCCTTGGCATGATGTCATACACAAGGTCTTTTTTATTAAATAATCTGAATTTGATTTCTTTCCAACCTATAACTAGCTGCAAGACCTTCTTAACATTTACAAATCTCAGTTTTCTCATCTGTAAAACAGGAATCATAGTAATACTGAAAGCATCTATCTTTCTGGCTTATCATAAGTATGGAAGAAAATTATCAATGTAAAAAGATGTCTCATCTTGCCTGGCATATTATGGGAACTTATAAAATGTTGGCTATCATCACCCTTACCACCACTACCATCATCATCATCATCATCATCATCATCATCATCATCGTCATCACTCTAATAATCAGAATTGTCACCAGTCATAACTCTTTATCACTCAAGCACACTGAAGCAACTAACTTGGACCAATTATCATATTGTTGATTATCTGTTTTAATCTCTGGAGGATGGCTAAATTTTGATTCATTTTGTTGTCAGCTTTTTGTTAGGTGTCCCTCCCCCAATTATGTATTTAGGGACTGAAGAAACAGTGATCCAAAATTAAAACACTTATGCTAATAGGATATAATTGCAACTTAACAGGTAGGAATTCGTGCTTTTGGAGATATAAGCACAAGATAATTTGAACATTTGGTTCGTAGTGTGGACACTGCTGTTGTGTTGAGTAAAGCATCAACGAACACAAATAATGTGAGGGGAAAAGGCTCACAATATTTTCCATAAACAAAATGGCATTTAATGTTGTTTACAGGTATGCTTGAAATTTCAACTAATACAACTACAAATGTACCTGTTTAAAAGTCAGGCAATTAAACACAAGCAAGAAAAAGAATGAAAACTTAGCAGTTATAAAGTAAACCAAGCAGCCAAGAATTTCTAGGCATAAAATCCACATAGATGTTAGTAAATGATTTTTTTTTGGTGATGTCCTGTGTGACAGCATCCGTCTCTTCATTCTATCTGTGAGGTTAGATTAGGTTTCTTTGACCATTTCCTTTATTTCTTCACATCTTTCCCTTTTTTACCAAGGTGGAACAAATCACAGTGCTGAGGAATCTCAGAGGCGCGCACACACACACACACACACACACACACACGCACACACACCCCTATATCTATATTCATGAATAAAAATTATATAGTTCCTTCTTATTCATCATGAATAATTTTACAGTGAAGAATGCAGAAAGCTGATTGGCAATTACAATGTAGATGAATATTCTCATGGGGTAAGTCTGTGAGCACATAGGAGGATTACCAGATTAAACCCTGGGCATATCGGGAAGGCTTCCTGAAGGAAGCAACTTTTGCCACTGCAACCCACAGGACAAGGAGCTGGTTATGTTGTGTGCGAAGTTAAGTTCTTTGAGGAAGGTGAGGATGGTTTATTTTTATTTTATTCTTTTTTTATTTATAACACTGAGATAACAGGAAACAAGTAGGAGAGGTTTAAAGAAGAGCAAAGGGCATGTATGGAAACAGGAGATCATGGCATGGTGGAACTTAGAAAGCACGTATTATGGTCAGAATGTGGAGTTTGGGCTTGGTGACGGATAAAAGCTAGAGAGACAAGGAAAGCACTGGGAGGCTTAAATGGTGCTCTAGACAGATCACACATACATTCTAGAAAGATCATTTTAGCTAAACTATGGACACGAATTTGAAGGATATGAAATAAGATTAGCAATGGGGGACAAATTAAGAGGCTGTTGCAGTAATTCAGGTAAGACATATGGTGGCCTGTACTAGGGTAATAAAAATAAGGAGATATATATGGATTCAAGAAATAATAAGACAGTGAGATCAACAGAACTTAGTGATTTCTGGTGTGTGTGTGTGTGTGTGTGGTTTTGTTGATGGAGAAGAATAAGAATTCAAGGACTCTGTCCAGCTTACTGGCTTGAGAAAATGAGTGGATCTATTCATAAAGACAAGGATCCTGGGGGAAGTGTACATTTATGAAGAAGGAGGTGGAATTTGGAAGAAATCTTTCATAAGCATGGAGGAAAGGAACTCATCAAAATTAACGAGAAGGAACAATCAAAGAGACAGGAGGTAAAGCAGAAAAAGTTATTGTCTAATAAGTTTTAGTCATCTAAGGAAGCATGTGTTTGAAAAAAGAGAATTGTATGTGTGTGTACACATTGGGGAGCAAGGGTTACAAAGCAGACATTTATTTGCTGAGAAGTAAACAGAGTCTGAGGAAGCAGAGAGAGTGAGTACAAATGTCTTTCCTCTCTAACGCTAAAGTACCATGTCACAAACAAGAGATGCCTATCACTGAGTCAGAGCAGGGTACCTGTCTTCCCAACAAAATTAAAATAGGGAGAGAAAAGAAAAGAACTCAAACAACTCTCAGAAGAGAGATAAATTTAGGAGAGCATTGTTTAAACCTAGGATCAAGGTTCCTGTTATTCATTAGTGGCAGATGCCTATATACTCAATACGTGAGAGTGAAAGAAAGAGGAAGGGAGGAGAACAGTTCCCAGGACTGAGAAGCTCAGTTGCAGGTTTCCATGGAAATATTTTTAGCCAAATGGCTGGTCACTCTGCTCACACACTGGTATTGTGTTTCCAGTGGCAAAATAATGCCACCTGGTGTGCTGCTTTAGGTGTTCAGCATCTGAAACCATTTGGAAAGTTAGGGAAAGCCAGAGATGGATGTTCTAGAGAAGTCTGCCATTGTTCCTAAAAGCATACAATTGACTGATAGTAATGATAATGTGATAATAATAATATTAATATGATACTAATGATACTAATATGATACTCCTACTAATAATAATATGATACTCATATGCATGCTAATGATAATGTGATGATAATATTATTAATATGATACTAATACTATGATACTACTACTACTAATAATATGATACTCATATACCTGCTAATAAATTGTAATGATCATATTTATTAAGTGCATTAGTGTAGTGAGACTATGTGCTAAGGATTTTTACAAACATTAGTATCCAGTGCTCATGACCACCCAATGAAGTGGTTATTATTATTAGCCATTTTACACATGAGAAGGTAAGACTCAGGTTCTGAGATATTCGGGGACTTACCTGAGCCCACACATCTGATACATGGTAACATGAGAAGGGCAGTCAAGCTCATGCTGCCTTTTCACTTTGACATGGGAAGAACTTGATTATGATGATAAAAACACTATGAGGTCAGGTGCAGTGGCTCACACTTGTAATCTCAGCACTTTAGGAGGCCTAGGTGGGCAGATCACTTAAGCCCAGGAGTTCAAGACCAGCCTGGGCAACACAGAAAAATACACACACACACACACACACACACACACACACACACACACACTATGAGATAACTCAAATGTATAGAACAGACAGTGTGCTAAGTGCTTTGTGGTCATTCTTTTATTTAACCCTCTCAACAGCCTTATGAGGCAGTCACTGTGGTACATCCATATTACAAACCTAGACTCAGTGAGGTTGGGTAACTTTTCTGATTTTACAGAGGTAATGTGCTGCAGAGCTGGGATTTTATCCAAGTTCTCTGATACCAGACCCTGTACACTAAGCCATCTCTCTGTTGCTTATTAGCCTGCGATACATATGAATTAAAGATGTGTGGGTCCTGAATTGGACAGAGGCAAAGTGTAGCACTAATGAAAACAAAACTGATTCGGGCCTTCCTTTTGCTGTCTCTTGAAGGTGACTTACATTTGGTGAATTTGTTAATCTGCGTAAGAGAAATAAAGTGTGGCTATATCTGGTGTGAGTACCTACAATGAGCTATGCATAGTGCTAGAATGTATCTACTTTTTAGTTTAAGAGAAAGAGTTGGACAGCTTCTGGGGGAAGTGGGGAGATTATACTCCTAGACACAGATTCGAAACAACTTTTTCAGCTGAAGGATGTTTTGGAATAAACCTAGCATCCAAACAAGAGGTGGGTAAATAATGTCTGGACTCAGGGCTTTGATTCTAGAAAGTGACTATCTGGATTGGCAATTCAGGCCAAGGAAAGGCCACGGACATCTTTCAAGGGTATTTTACTCTACTGAGCTGGGAAGAAGGGAGCCGCTCTTGAACCTGCATCAAGATGCGTTTTGATCTTCCAAAACCTATCTGCATAGTGTTTACTGCAAGAAGAGAAAGGGAAGCTAAAATTCCTCTAAAATCCCTACCCCTTACTGAAAACAACTGGAGTTAGGGTTGAATTCCTTTTTATATAAAAGATAAAGCCAGGAGGAGAAAGCTAAAAAATCATTTTCATATAATTTACACTAAATAATAAATGTGGAGGGAATCCTGTCAGGGACATACATTAGAAATGCAGTTGGCTTTGTTCTCTGGGAGTTCTATGGATACAGCCCATAGATATTTCAGGGTTATTTCCTCTGTAAAATAACAGTGGCTTCATGGACCTATTTCTGCAGTGTTTTCTACCTCCATACTATGCACAGCAGGCAAAATCACAGGCATCTGACATGAACTTAGGCCGATAAGTTTTCCCTGAATCTTACACACACACACACACACACACACACACACACACACACATATCCACAGGTGAATATGGAAAAAAATAACAATGACAACTTTAAGGAAATTTTTGTCATGCTTTCTCTTGATTTATTTTCAATAGTTCAAATGAAACTTATTGAGCACGTTATTCTTATCAGGTACTCAATAGGTACTATGGGTGATAAAATGATGAATAAGACATGGTACTTAAACTCAAGGAGTTTGTAATATACTGAGGCCAACTGTGGAGTATACATTTTATCGTAGTCCAAAACAGACCGTTCTAGTTGTTATTGTGATAAAGGCACAAGCAAAATGCTTCAGGGGCTCAGAGGAGGAAGAGATAAAATTTTAATGGATTAACTGGTTGTTAAGAGTTTTGACCCCATGTCTCTAACCACTTACTACCTCCGTGATCTTGAACATGTCCTTAACTGCTTTAAACTTTGGTTTTTCTCATTTGTAAATTAAATATAATAAGAGAAACAGTTTTATTAAAGATGATAGGGAGAACAAGCAGTTAATTATTATTAGGTGTTGAAGAAGTCTTCCCAAGGGTGGTGATATTTTAGTTGACCTTTGAAAGGGAGTAGTGTTTTTCATAGGGAGAAAGTTGCAGCAAGACTTCCAAGGTTAGGATACACTTTGAGCAGAGCATCTCCTGCATTCACCTGCTGGTAAAGCTGAAAGCTCCCGTACATCCCCCTGTCCTGCTTGTATTTCTTACCATTAGGATTACTTCTTTGGATTTGTGCAAAAGAACTACTTCTAGTGACCAGAATCAAACCTGACATCTAGTGTCTAAAAAGTGTGTGTGTGGAGTGGGGGGAGTCTAACTCTCTCTTTTGAATTCATTTGGAGCCATTAGCTCAATCATTTTATCAATTTAGCCAACTGGAGTCTTAGGAAACAGAGGTGGGACACAAGTGGAAGCTTCAGTATAGATACAGTTGAAGTTCAACAGGTGATAAAGGACAGGGATATGGGACGCTACCCCAAGGGGATGTGCAAGACAGTGTAAGGTCACCACAAACCTGGTAGGCCTGGAAGAAGGGCCAACAGCAAATGGAACTCCTTTCAAATTCTTCTAATGGCAATTTTGGTCATGTTTATTGGTCTCATGAAAATGGAAATGAAGAGCAAAGAAGGAGGGTGGGTTGGGGACAGTTGGTACTGAAGGCCACTGCATTGGCTACTTCACATTCAGGGCTGATCCACCTTAGCCACAACCATCAATAATTTGCATTGACTTTTCAGCTGACTTTCTTTAAATTCAATGTTAAAAATCATTTCCAAGGTGACTAATACATACCTTTCATCTAATTGCCATTATTTCATAACAAGAACTTTTCAATCCAGCCATGGTTGTCTAACTATGCCTCTTGGCTCAGGTTACTCCTCACTTGGAATGCACATGTCCTCTCCTCATCTGTCGACAAGCTGAATCACATTTACTTGCCTCTAAGGCCTGGCTTCGCTGAGACTCTTTCCCTTGTCACCCCATATCTCCTACATCTGAACTCAATGTCCATGTCACTTATCTGGTTTAAGAATACACTGCCTAATGGAGGGGATTATTTTTCTTACCTTGGCAGCTCTGCCCCATCCGTCCCATTTCTCAAGTGAGAATCTGAGTCCCTTGAGGAGAGAAATTGACAGAAATCTGTTTTCCCCCTTACTGCTCCTAGCCCAGAGTCCTGATGTGTTTGCCAATTGAATTAGTTACAGACAGAATCAAAAACATCAACACAATCAGCAAAATCCCCAGTTTCCTTCAAATCTTTTTACCCTCCTTGTATTTTCTCTAACACTTCAAAGGTTTTCATACTATGCTAAACCTATCCCTTTGGTTTTAAACCTTATCCCTTCCTCTTCACTACATGGAAGATTTCCCTGACCACAAATAGAAAAGGATGAAGAATTAATTAACAAGAAAATGCCAGTATAAACATATGCCTAGAGCCTGCCTGTCTTCTAAATGCAGAAAGCAGTCCACATATGAATATACCGATGTATTGTTGTTGAAGTACATAATCATTTTCAACGAGCATAGACAACTCTAATACACATTTCCTCCATTTAGAAAGGGACAAAATGGAGTCCAGAGATGCTAATTAAATTATACAAATTACACAGGGCTGAGCCTGGAACCCAGGCCCCCTTTAAATACCATTTCAAGATTTAACCCACTATCCTTCATCCTTGGTATTCATTTAGTAAGAAATGTCAGAGTTGGGGATGATGGTGATGTTACAGTTAGCAGAATGGCTTACCTATTCTGTGAAAAGGTAGCTGTCCTTCCAGCAGGGAGAACAGGAGCTGTAAAACATCCTCTAACATCAGATTCTCGAGCAAGTTCCCTGTGATCCCACTGTAGGAGCAGCCTGTGGCCACGTGCAGCCCACTCATTCTTTCCTAAATGGCTTTACACACATTGATTGCCAATTAAGGCTTTTGTTGCCGACAGAGTAGTCAAGACCTAAAATTACCCCTCACTTCTTATGACTCCAGGGCACCCGGCCAAACTAATATTTATAGCTGCTACAGATCAGTGAACTAGACAGCCAGGACACAGAAATGAGTCAAAACTGTTCTTTGTCCCAGAGACACCAAAGTGAAATGAACACTCCTGAAAAAGATGACAAAGCTTTTCTCCAAATTCCTACCTCCATAAATTCAGAGTTTTCTAGGAAAACAAAAGTTAAGGAATAAAATTAATAATTATTGAGTATATACTTTACGCCACCACTTCCATAATATAGTCCTGTAATTCTTAAACATAGTATCTGGAAAATATTTGATATTTATTATTTATCAAAGACCAAAACAAAATGTGAAAAGCGGTGTGTTGTTTTCATTTTTTTTTTCTGAAGAAAAAAAAACATACACAAGATTCAGAGGTTGAGCAATTGTCAAAGGTCAAATAAATTGTTTGCGGATGGACTGAGACTCAAACCCTCTTCTTTCTGCAAATATCATGCTTTCCTTGCACTTATCTATTGTAGGAGTTGGCAGATTGTCACTCTATTCTATAAGCTCCCATAAAACTTTGTAAAATCCTATATTAGAAAACTTAGAGCATTGTATTTAAAAACTCCTTCGCGTAACTGCTTCCTTTGTGAGTCTTAGAGGTCCAAGTCCTGGCTATATCACTTATGAGCTGTATAAATGTTGCTAAATCATTGAACAACTGTGTACCCCACTTTCTTTATCTGAAGAACAGAGATTATTATATTATTTTACTTTTAAATATTATATAATTATAATGATCATCCAAGGGCCTAAGAGTACTAGCGAGTAATGGCTAACCATGTACGTTTTACTGTGGACAGACCACGACTATCTTTATGCACCACTAGCATAGTGCTTAGCAAAAAGTAAGCGTATAAGAACATATTGACTTAATGAAAGAGTGAATAAATTGTTTGAAGGCCTGAATACAGTGAGTATATTTGTGGTAGTTCCCAACCTATTGGCCACAGACCTTCCGAACTAGCACAATTACGGTGAGATATCTGTAAAACAATGTCTGCCAACAAAAGAAAGCAAGTCTTACACATAGGTGTACTATTATTTTTTCACTGTGTATAGATATTGTTGTGATTTCTAAAATGCAAAATTGTTTAAATGTGTTACTTAAGTCTTAATAGCTCCTTGTATTTTATTTGCACATTCAATTAGTGAATACAAGTAGGGTTATACTACATCACGAAGGCTGCCCATGAGGTGTTAGAACATTAAATGAGAAGGGGCACACATAAAAGTTGAAAAATCCTATCCGAAGGCATTGAAAATTGGTTGCCTGCCACTAATAGACTTGGCTCTTTCATACTGTATCCCCCTAGGGTATGGCTATGCAGAATCTGATTTTTTTTTCTTTCTTTATTATTATTATTATTATTATTATTATTATTATTATTATTATTATGCTTTAAGTTATAGGGTACATGTGCACAATGTGCAGCTGTGTTACACATGTATACATGTGCCATGTTGGTGTGCTGCACCCATTAACTCGTCATTTAGCATTAGGTATATCTCTTAATGCTATCCCTCCCCCCTCCCCCCACCCCACAAAAGTCCCCAGAGTATGATGTTCCCCTTCCTGTGTCCAAGTGTTCTCATTGTTCAATTCCCAACTATGAGTGAGAACAAGCGATGTTTGGTTTTTTGTCCTTGCGATAGTTTGCTGAGAATGATGGTTTCCAGTTTCATCCATGTCCCTACAAAGGACATGAACTCTTCATTTTTTGTGGCTGCATAGTATTCCATGGTGTATATGTGCCACATTTTCTTAATCCGGTCTATCGTTGTTGGACATTTGGGTTGGTTCCAAGTCTTTGCTATTGTGAATAGTGCTGCAATAAACATACGGGTGCATGTGTCTTTATAGCTGCATGATTTATAATCCTTTGGGTATATACCCAGTAATGGGATGGCTGGGCCAAATGATATTTCTAGTTCTAGATCCCTGAGGAATCGCCACACTGACTTCCACAATGGTTGAACTAGTTTACAGTCCCACCAACAGTGTAAAAGTGTTCCTATTTCTCCATATCCTCTCCATCACCTGTTGTTTCCTGACTTTTTACTGATGGCCATTCTAACTGGTGTGAGATGGTATCTCATTGTGGTTTTGATTTGCATTTCTCTGATGGCCAGTGATGATGAGCATTTTTTTATCTGTCTGTTGGCTGGATAAATGTCTTCTTTTGAGAAGTGTCTGTTCATATCCTTCGCCCACTTTTTGATGGGGTTGTTTGTTTTTTTCTTGTAAATTTGTTTGAGTTCATTATAGATTCTGGATATGAGCCCTTTGTCAGATGAGTAGGTTGCGAAATTTTCTCCCATTCTGTAGGTTGCCTGTTCACTCTGATGGTAGTTTCTTTTGCTGTGCAGAAGCTCTTTAGTTTAATTAGATCCCATTTGTCAATTTTGGCTTTTGTTGCCATTGCTTTTGGTGTTTTAGACAGGAAGTCCTTGCCCATGCCTATGTCCTCAATGGTAATGCATAGGTTTTCTTCTAGGGTTTTTATGGTTTTAGGTCTAACATGTAAGTCTTTAATCCATCTTGAATTAATTTTTGTATAAGGTGTAAGGAAGGGATCCAGTTTCAGCTTTCTACATATGGCTAGCCAGTTTTCCCAGCACCATTTATTAAATAGGGAATCCTTTCCCCATTTCTTGTTTTTCTCAGGTTTGTCAAAGATCAGATGGTTGTAGATGCACGGCATTATTTCTGAGGGATCTGTTCTGTTGCATTGGTCTATATCTCTGTTTTGGTACCAGTACATTGCTGTTTTGGTTACTGTAGCCTTGTAGTATAGTTTGAAGTCAGGTAGCATGATGCCTCTGGCTTTGTTCTTTTGGCTTAGGATTGACTTGGGGATGTGGGCTCTTTTTTGGTTCCATATGAACTTTAAAGTAGTTTTTTCCAATTCTGTGAAGAAAGTCATTGGTAGCTTGATGGGGATGGCATTGAATCTATAAATTACCTTGGACAGTATGGCCATTTTCACGATATTGATTCTTCCTACCCATGAGCATGGAATGTTCTTCCATTTCTTTGTATCCTCTTTTATTTCGTTGAGCAGTTGTTTGCAGTTCTCCTTGAAGAGGTCCTTCACGTCCCTTGTAAGTTGGACTCCTAGGTACTTTATTCTCTTTGAAGCAATTGTGAATGGGAGTTCACTCATGATTTGGCTCTCTGTTTGTCTGTTATTGGTGTATAAGAATGCTTGTGATTTTTGTACATGGATTTTGTATCCTGAGACTTCGCTGAAGTTGCTTATCAGCTTAAGGAGATTTTGGGCTGAGACAATGGGGTTTTCTAGATATACAATCATGTCATCTGCAAACAGGGACAATTTGACTTCCTCTTTTCCTAATTGAATACCCTTTATTTCCTTCTCCTGCCTAATTGCCCTGGCCAGAACTTCCAACACTATGTTGAATAGGAGTGATGAGAGAGGGCATCCCTGTCTTGTGCCAGTTTTCAAAGGGAATGCTTCCAGTTTTTGCCCATTCAGTATGATATTGGCTGTGGGTTTGTCATAGATAGCTCTTATTATTTTGAGATGCATCCCATCAATACCTGCTCTGTGCTCAGCTCACAGTTGGCCATAGTGCCTCGAAGGTGTGATCTGCTCTCCCCTAACTGTATTAGTTATCCAGTGCCTGTTGTATTGGTCAGGGATTCTGCTTCTCATAGCTCTATAAGTGAGTACTATCATGATCCCCACTTAAGAGGAAGACACTGGGGCCCATGAAAGGGACTCCAGAACCTGTGCTCTTAACCTCTGTACAGTTTATGAAGGGTTGTTGAATTTTTTCAAGGCCTTTCTGCATCTATTGAGATAATCATGTGGTTTTTGTCTTTGGTTCTGTTTATATGCTGGATTACATTTATTGATTTGTGTATGTTGAACCAGCCTTGCATCCCAGGGATGAAGCCCACTTGATCATGGTGGATAAGCTTTTTGATGTGCTGCTGGATTCGATTTGCCAGTATTTTATTGAGGATTTTTGCATCAATGTTCATCAAGGATATTGGTCTAAAAATCTCTTTTTTGGTTGTGTCTCTGCTTTGGTATCAGGATGATGCTGGCCTCATAAAATGAGTTAGAGAGGATTCCCTCTTTTTCTATTGATTGGAATAGTTTCAGAAGAAATGATACCAGCTCCTCCTTGTACCTTTGGTAGAATTCGCCTGTGAATTCATCTGGTCCTGGACTTTTTTTGGTTGGTAAGCTATTGATTATTGCCACAATTTCAGATCCTGTTATTGGTTTATTCAGAGATTCAACTTCTTCCTGGTTTAGTCTTGGGAGGGTGTATGTGTCGAGGAATTTATCCATTTCTTCTAGATTTTCTGGTTTATTTGTGTAGAGGTGTTTGTAGTATTCTCTGATGGTAGTTTGTATTTCTGTGGGATCGGTGGTGATATCCCCGTTATCATCTTTTATTGCGTCTATTTGATTCTTCTCTCTTTTCTTCTTTATTAGTCTTGCTAGTGGTCTATCAATTTTTTTGATCTTTTCAAAAAACCAGCTCCTGGATTCATTTATTTTTTAAGGGTTTTTTGTGTCTCTATCTCCTTCAGTTCTGCTCTGATTTTAGTTATTTCTTGTCTTCTGCTAGCTTTTGAATGTGTTTGCTCTTGCTTTTCTAGTTCTTTTAATTGTGACGTTAGGGTGTCAATTTTGGATCTTTCCTGCTTTCTCTTGTGGGCATTTAGTGCTATAAATTTCCCTCTACACACTGCTTTGAATGTGTCCCAGAGATTCTGGTATGTTGTGGCTTTGTTCTCGTTGGTTTCAAAGAACATCTTTATTTCTGCCTTCATTTTGTTACGTACCCAGTAGTCATTCAGAAGCAGCTTGCTCAGTTTCCATGTAGTTGAGTGGTTTTGAGTGAGTTTCTTAGTCCTGGGTTCTAGTTTGATTGCACTGTGGTCTGAGAGACAGTTTGTTATAATTTCTTTTCTTTTACATTTGCTGAGGAGTGCTTTTCTTCGAAGTATGTGGTCAATTTTGGAATAGGTGTGGTGTGGTGCTGAAAAAAATGTACATTCTGTTGATTTGGGGTGGAGAGTTCTGTAGATGTCTATTAGGTCTGCTTGGTGCAGAGCTGAGTTCAATTCCTGGATATCCTTGTTAACTTTCTGTCTCGTTGATCTGTCTAATGTTGACAGTGGGGTGTTAAATTCTCCCATTATTATCGTGTGGGAGTCTAAGTCTCTTTGTGGGTCATTCAGGACTTGCTTTATGAATCTGGGTGCTCCTGTATTGGGCGCATATATATTTAGGTTAGCTCTTCTTGTTGAATTGATCCCTTTACCATGATGTAATGGCCTTGTTTGTCTCTTTTGATCTTTGTTGGTTTAAAGTCTGTTTTATCAGAGACTAGGATTGCAACCCCTGCCTTTTTTTTGTTTTCCATTTGCTTGGTAGATCTTCCTCCATCCATTTATTTTGAGCCTATGTGTGTCTCTGCACGTGAGATGGGTTTCCTGAATACAGCACACTGTCAAGGGTCTTGGGTCTTTATCCAATTTGCCAGTCTGTGTCTTTTAATTGGAGCATTTAGTCCACATTTACATTTAAAGTTAATATTGTTATGTGTGAATTTGGTCATGTCATTTTGATGTTAGCTGGTTATTTTGCTCGTTAGCTGATGCAATTTCTTCCTAGCCTCGATTGTCTTTACAATTTGGCCTGATTTTGCAGTGGCTGGTACCGGTTGTTCCTTTCCATGTTTAGTGCTTCCTTCAGGAGCTCTTTTAGGGCAGGCCTCGTGGTGACAAAATCTCTCAGCATTTGCTTGTCTGTAAAGTATTTTATTTCTCCTTCACTTATGAAGCTTAGTTTGGATGGATATGAAATTCTGGGTTGAAAATTCTTTTCTTTAAGAATGCTGAATATTGGCCCCCACTCTCTTCTGGCTTGCAGAGTTTCTGCCGAGAGATCTGCTGTTAGTCTTATGGGCTTCCCTTTGTGGGTAACCCGACCTTTCTCTCTGGCTGCCCTTAACATTTTTTTTCCTTCATTTCAACTTTGGTGAATCTGACAATTATGTGTCTTGGAGTTGCTCTTCTCGAGGAGTATCTTTGTGGCGTTCTCTGTATTTCCTGAATCTAAATGTTGGCCTGCCTTACTAGATTGGGGAAGTTCTCCTGGATAATATCCTGCAGAGTGTTTTCCAACTTGCTTCCATTCTCCCTGTCACTTTCAGGTACACCAACAAGACATAGATTTGGTCTTTTCACATAGTCCCATATTTCTTGGAGGCTTTGTTCATTTCTTTTTATTCTTTTTTCTCTAAACTTCCCTTCTCACTTCATTTCATTCATTTCGTCTTCCATCACTGATACCCTTTCTTCCAGTTGATTGCGTTGGCTCCTGAGGCTTCTGCATTCTTCACGTAGTTCTCAAGCCTTGGCTTTCAGCTACATCAGCTCCTTTAAGGATTTCTCTGCTTTGGTTATTCTAGTTATCCATTCGTCTAAATTTTTTTTCAAAGTTTTTAACTTCTTTGCCATTGGTTTGAATTTCCTCCTGTAGCTCGGAGTAGTTTGATTGTCTGAAGCCTTCTTCTCTCAGTTCGTCAAAGTCATTCTCTGTCCAGCTTTGTTCTCTTGCTGGTGAGGAGCTGCATTCCTTTGGAGGAGGAGAGGCGCTCTGCTTTTTAGAGTTTCCAGTTTTTCTGCTCTGTTTTTTCCCCATCTTTGTGGTTTTATCTACTTCTGGTCTTTGATGATGGTGACATACAGAAGGGTTTTTGGTGTGGATGCCCTTTCTGTTTGTTAGTTTTCCTTTGAACAGACAGGACCCTCAACTGCAGGTCTGTTGGAGTTCGCTAGAGGTCCACTCCAGACCCTGTTTGCCTGGGTAACAGCAGCGGTGGCTGCAGAACAGCGGTGGCTGTAGAACAGCGGATCTTGGTGAACCACAAATGCTGCTGCCTAATCGTTCCTCTGGAAGTTTTGTCTCAGAGGAGTACCCGGCCGGCCATGTGAGGTGTCAATCTGCCCCTACTGGGGGATGCCTCGTACTTAGGCTGCTCGGGGGTCAAGGACCCACTTAAGGAGGCAGTCTGCCCATTCTCAGACCTCCAGTTGTGTGCTGGGAGAACCACTACTCTCTTCAAAGCTGTCAGACAGGGACATTTAAGTCTGCAGAGGTTACTGCTGTCTTTTTGTTTGTCTGTGCCCTGCCCCCAGAGGTGGAGCCTACAGAGGCAGGCAGGCCTCCTTGAGCTGTGGTGGGCTCCACCCAGTTCGAGCTTCCCGGCTGCTTTGTTTACCTAATCAAGCCTGGGCAATGGCAGGCGCCCCTCCCCCAGCCTTGCTGCCACCTTGCAGTTTGATCTCAGACTGCTGTGCTAGCAATGAGCAAGACTCTGTGGGTAGGACCCTCCCAGCCATGTGCGGGATATAATCTCCTGGTGCGCCATTTTTTAAGCCTGTTGGAAAAGAGCTGTATTAGGGTGGGAGTGACCCGATTTTCCAGGTGCCGTCTGTCACCCCTTTCTTTGACTAGGAAAGGGAACTCCCTGACCCCTTGCGCTTCCCAAGTGAGGCAATGCCTTGCCCTGCTTCGGCTTGCACACGGTGCGCTGCACCCACTGTCCTGCACCCACTGTCTAGCACTCCCTAGTGAGGTGAACCCAGTACCTCAGATGGAAATGCAGCAATCACCCATCTTCTGCATCGCTCACGCTTGGAGCTGTAGACCAGAGCTTTTCCTATTCTGCCATCTTGGCTCCACCCACTGAAATCTGATTTTTTTTCTTATAGAACCCTCTTTGTCAGAGGATTCTATTCATTTATACAAGGCCAGAGTAGAGAAAGCCATCTTCTTTCTAAACCTGTCTTATTTGCTGTGAGTATCTCTATATATTAGTGAAAGGGTATAAATGTGAATCTGGAAAATATCTCAAAATCTATGAAATAAACCCTTTCCCAAATCCTTATGTATGCTCTCTTGGATCCCTGTTTGCATTCTGTGACCCCATTCCTTCAGCTACTGTTGATTTCCCACAAGGGGAGAACACTTTACCCCGGTGTTGGTCAATCCAATGATCTCTTCCAGAAGCATCCAGGTCTGGAGAATCTAGTTAAGATTTTGGATGGAACTGAGTTCATAGGAACTCAGTTTTGACATAATGAATCAATGAAAATGAGACAGCACAAAAGACCCAGACACGGAGAAGATCATGTAGGGAGAACCTATAAACCCACAGAGAGAAGCTTCCAAAGTTCCGACTGTTTCCTTGTCTTTTGTAAATCCAAGATTAACTTGCCTTTGAGTTTCATGAAGCATAATTGTGTCCTGATTCTTTAATTCAATTATTATTGGTTGAGCATCTACTATGTCCTAAGCACTAATCTTGGTATTGTAGTTACAGCAGTGAAAAAAAATTCAAAAAGATCCTTGCCCTCATGAAGCTTATATTCACATGTTGAAAATACAAAGTAAACAAGATAAATAATTAAAATAGTATGGTAGGTGTGTTAAGTGTAACAGGAAAGCAAAAATGTTGTGGGAAGTTTCATGAGTGGAGGTTCAGCTTTAGATAGGTGGCTAGTGAAGGCCTTGACATGATATTTGAGTGAAGTAAAAGGAAAGAAATGATGGCATTTGAGTGAAGTGAGGAATTGAGTAAAGTGAGAATTTGAAAAAACAATTTTAACTTTTATTTTAGCTTCAAGGGGTACATGTGAGGCTTGTTACATGGGTTTATTGCATGAAGCTGAGGCTTGGGCTCTTCCCCCATCCCTCTCTTGCATCTATAGTGGCATCAGTATCAATTGTTCCCATCTTTATGTCCATGTGTACCCAAAGTTTAGTTCTCATTTATAGGTGATAATATGTGGGATTTGGTATTCTGTTCCTATGTTAATTTGCTTATGATAGTGGCCTCTAGCTGCATTCATGCTGCTGCAAAGGACATGATCTCATTCTTTTTGTAGCTGTGTATTATTCCATGGTATATATGTACCTCATTGTCCTTATCCAGTCCACCAACCTACATGTTGATGGGCACGTAGGTTGAGTCCATGTCTTTTCTATTGTGAATAGTGCCATGATGAATATGCTAGTGCATATGTCTTTTTCGTAGAATGATTTATTTTCCTTTGGGTATTGTAACAGCTAATACTGAGTGTCAACTTGATTGGATTGAAGTATGGGAAGTATTGTTGCTGGATGTGTCGGTGAGAGTGTTGCCAAACGAGATTAACATTTGAGTCAGTGGACTGGGAAAGGCAGACCCACTCTCAATCAGGGTAGGCAAAATCTAATCAGCTGCCAGTGTGGCCAGAATAAAAGCAGACAGAAGAACGTGAAAAGGCTAGACTGGCCTAGTCTCCAAGACTACATCTTTCTCCTGTGCTGGATGCTTCCTGCCCTCCAACATCGGACTCCAAGTTCTTCAGCTTTGGGACTTGGACTGGCTTCCTTGCTCCTCAGCTTGCAGGCGGCCTATTGTGGGACCTTGTGATTGTGTGAATCAGTACTCCTTAATAAACTCCCCTTTATATGTATATATATCTATCCTATTAGTTCTGTCCCTCTACAGAAGCCTGACTAATACAGATTTATAATGAGCAATGGGATTGCTGGGTCAAATGGCAGTTCTGTTTTCAGTTCTTGGAGAAATCTCTAAACTGCTTTCCACAGTGTCTGAACTAATTTACATTCCCTTTTCTCTGCAGCCTCCCCAGTATCTGTTATGTCTTGACTTTTTAATAATAGCCATTCTGACTGGTCTGAGATGATATTTCACTGTGGTTTTGATTTTCATTTCTCTGATGATTAATGATATTGAGCATTTTTCCATATTTTTGTTGGCAACTTGTATGTCTTCTTTTGAAAAGTGTCTGTTCATGTCCTCTGCCTGCTTTTTTTTTTTTTTTTTTTTTTTTGAGACAGAGTCTCGCTCTGTCGCCCAGGCTGGAGTGCAGTGGCGCGATCTCGGCTCACTGCAAGCTCCGCCTCCCGGGTTCACGCCATTCTCCTGCCTCAGTCTCCCGAGTAGCTGGGACTACAGGGGCCCACCACCATGCCTGGCTGATTTTTTGTATTTTTAGTAGAAATGGGGTTTCACCATGTTAGCCAGGATGGTCTGGATCTCCTGACCTCGTGATCCGCCCACCTCGGCCTCCCAAAGTGCTGGGATTACAGGCATGAGCCACGGTGCCCGGCCCCTCTACTCACTTTCTAATGGGGTTATTTGTCTTTTGACTGTTAAGTTCCTCATTAATTCTGGATATTAGACCTTTGTCAGATGTATAGTCTGCAAATATTTTCTCCCATTCTTTAGATTGTCTGTTTATTATGTCGATAGTTTCCTTTGCTATGCAGAAGCTCTTTATTTTAATTAGGTCCCACTTATCAGTTTTTGTTTTTGTTGCGATTGCTTTTGAGAACTTAGTCATAAATTCTTCGCCAGGGCCAAGATTGAAAATGGTATTTCCTATGTTTTCTTCTAGGATTTGTATACTTTGAGGTCTTATATTTAAATCTTTGATCCATCTTGAGTTAATTTTTGTATATGGTGAAAAGTAAGGGTACAGTTTCATTCTTCTGCATATGGCTAGCCAGTTATCCCAGCAAATCAGGTCCATTTTAAAGGTGATCATTTGCTTTGATTAGGCTAACATGGGCTGGTCTTTTCTACTTACAGTACATCAAAAATTCTTAACTAGGGTATACTTTGTCAATATAGTTTTTGAGCCAAAAAGCAGATTATTGATAAAGAAAGCTTGCCTTCATTTCTTTAGCAATTTTTTTCTTTTTTTAATTGTTGTGTTACAGGGTAGTTTGTCTTATAGCTCTGTGCTATACTCAGAAGCTCAGGCATTTGGTACTGGGATATGAAAGAGATTGAGGAGCAAATGAATTAACCTTTATTAACACTGGGAAATACCGTACTTGCAATAACCTTCAGAAATCACTGGGCTCATGGTTGTCTCCACTGAGGCTGCTCCCAATAACCTGGCAGCAAAAGGATTATGTAGAAAGGAAATCCATTTAAACATCTGCAAACCTTTCTGCTGATTGAATCTCCAAACATGCATCCACAAATCTGCATTATAGAACACTAGGTAAATCACAATAGAAAAGTATATCCTGATACAGAAAGATCATGATTTATTTACGAAAACGTACACTTTTAATTATCCATTAAGAACAAAATTCCAGAGATAAATTTAAATTTCTCTGAGAAGCAATGTCTCATTGTAGGTTAAACAAATTTGTAAACTAGGTAAATAGTAAATATTATAAATTTGGGGTACTGAGGAGAGGTTAGCTGCAAAAACAAACTATTTCATATATTTTCTTCTTAACAAATTCTTCCGAAGCATCAATTCATGAACACAATTTGTCCACACCTAGTGCTAATTCGTTGACTTTGGGTTTAATAGATTAAAATAATCTCTCTATAAAAAGATACGACAGGTTCTTTGGAATTATGAGCAATAATTTCTAAAATGTGACATGCATGTTAAGTTCAGATGGTGTGGGGGCCATCAGGTGATTTTGCTTCATAGACAGAAAAGTGACTATCTCAAGAAGGTAGCAGGGGAGGAAAGGGGTTGTGACTTCAGTTGCTTTGTTATTTTATCCAATTTGATGCCTGCTTCTTTTCTGACCTCGGGCCTTCCATTGTGACGTGTGCAATTGTAAAGGAAACGAGAGGACGAAATGAATCAAACTAGGCTTTTGTTCCCACTATCCCAATTCTCGCCAACTAAAAGTCACAAAGGAAACTTAGTCTTATTAAAGGGCAGTGGGTCAGACCACAGAATCTGCAAAGCTGCTCTTAAGGCTCAGTGTTCTTGCTGGGTCACATTACCATTGAAATCAAGTGTCAAATGACTGTGCAGCATATCTGTCACCAGAAAAAGGTAGAAAATTGGGTGCTGGGATGTAGAAAGCTGAAAGCATCCAAATAGAGTTAGTGTAGTTATCAAAAACAAGCCTCTGTGCCTTTCTTTATTAACCTCACCTCCCACTTTGTTTAATCTTTTCCTCCCATGAGTTTTACTAACTCAAACTGAGCTAGCACTTAAGATGTTTAAAACGTATATCATTTCTGAAAGCCCACGCTCAGGTGAGGCAGTAACTCGGCTCCAGAGCACATTTTCTTAACCTCGGCACTACTGATATTTTGGGTAGCACAACTATTTGTTGTCAGGTGCTGTTTTGTACATGCAGAATATTTAGCCGCACCCCAGCCTCTACCCATTAGAATGCTACTAGCATCCTCCAGTTGTGACAACCAAACATGTGTCCAGACATTGCCATAGTACCCCAGGTTGAGAACTTCTGCTTTAGGGATTGAATTGGTGGATTGAGTGGTGTCCTCTGCAAGACAGCTTATGCCAGCCACTGCTTCAGAGCTTCTCTCCAGTAATAGAAAAGGAAAGCTAACATAACCTGCTCTATATTGCAGGTGGAGAGAAACTCCATTTACTCATTTAGAAAGGTGAAATTGACATTATGAATGTACCCACTTGGAAAAAATGTAGTGTGACACTTAAGAGTCACTTTGAAAATTTCTCAGTCCTTAGTAGTAGAGTAGGTGGCATTGACCTGAAAAGTTGAGAGTCTGGCTTGGGCTGTTCCATTGATTCATTGGGTAGCTTGTGACAATCCCTTGGACCTCACTATATCACTGGCTATAAGATGTCTTATGCTATGTAGTGACTCAAGACAATATCCATAAAAGACTCTAAGTGCTGGGAATGGCAGTCCTATATCAAAATAAGATGTCACGGATGCATTTGTGGATAGCCACTTGTCCTAGCACTTCAATGTGTAAGTAGTAGAGTAAAATGAATTCCATGGAGAATGATATAGAGAAAGACCTATTCGGTTTTACTAAGAACAAAAAATTATTAGCAAATTAATAATTAGAAAATACTTATTGAACACTAACAATGAACCACTTTCCTGTACACTTTACATGTATTAACTCATTTTATCCTTATCTCACTATTAGTGGTATTTACTATTTTCAGGTAGTCCAATATCAATATCGGTGGTATTTACTATTTTCAGTTATTTACTACCGATTTCACATAGCAATCAAGTTGTAGACTTAGCATACAAACCAGTCAGTTTGGCTTTCAACCACTACAGTATAAATTTTAAATCAACAAACATGTATTATATCCATATTCAACATACCAGGTGGTCTGCTAAGTGTTGAATAATCAAAGATGAGTAAGTCATGATTTCTGCTACCAAGCTGATCACAATCTAGTGTGGAGGCAGTTCTATATATATATAATATATATATATTATATATATACATATATATATAATATGTATATAAATCATTCTATATAACTGAAACTAGCATGATGCTTTTAGCATAGCAGCAGTTGCAAGTTAAGTAGTAGAACAAAGAAGGGGTGATGTATTGAACGCTAAGGGAAGCAAGGGGCTTCATAGAGGAGGGAGAACCACAGCCAGGATTTGAAGGATAAATAAGAATTCACCAGAAAGACCCAATGCATTAACAGCCACTGGGGAGGAGGGAACAGCATGAGCCAAGGCCCATCCTGGTACTCAGCAGTTTGTCTGTCTTTGGGCTCTAGGTGCCCATTGTAAAACAGCCTATTCTTCAAGGCCCAACTCATCTGCTATCCTTTTCAGATCAAGTCTTTTGGAATATTCTTGTGCTTATTCTTGTTTCAGATCTTCATGTTAGCACTTATCACACTCTGCATTGTGTTAGTTGCATTCACATCATTCTCTGTGACTGGTAACTAAGCTCCTCGAGGGAAGTGAATCTGTTTACATTTATTGCTAGGCAGTAACTTATGCTAGATGATGCTGGATACATGTTAAATTAAATGGTGAGGTGAATAATAAAACATAGCCGGACATAAGGCAATGCAAATGTCATATCGAACAATTCATTAAATGTATCCCATATTTTTTTTTACATATATATACTCTCTAAGATAAGTCAAAGATGAAGTTTGGCATATATTTTGATGTCTGGCATCTATGAGTCACTGCAAGGTAACTTGGAGAAATGAAAGAATTAGCACTAAATCCAATCAGTTTCTAATCCTGGTAGGTCTGCTCTTGAGTTTATCTAGTGCAGTGAGTGGTTCTCAAACTTAAGCATGCATTAGTCAGTCTAAAAAATTTGTTAAAATGCAGATTCCTACAGATCCTAATGCAGAGTCCTGGAATAGGGTACAGGAATAGGCACCCTCCTCCTGAATGATTCTTTGAAATGAGTTTAAAAAAATGGTCTGGTAACAGCAGGCAGAAGTTTTGGACTTTGGAGGAGAAAGAAGGAGCACCCAAAAAAACATGAATGTAAGGGAATTACACTGGCCAGCTGAACAAAAATGTCTATATATGTGTGTGTGTGTGTGTGTGTGTGTGTGTGTGTGTATACACACATTATATATATATAAATACATATATATTACATAAATAAATATGTATATAAATAATACATTATATATATATATATTCCCTCATTATCTTGTTACAGATTACTAAAATTACTAACAAGAGCCATTTCTTAGGTACAGGTTTCACGCTATCTGTTTTATGAGAAACTCTGACATGGGTGAGGCCCAGGCATTCATTGGTAGTTTTAAAAAATCTTCTGAGATGATAATAAACAGTTTGAGCTAATAATCACTCTTTTAGGGCCTTAAAATTGACAAAATGAAAACATCTCAGAATGCTTAACACTTTAGCAAGCCAATTTTCGGTCATTGTTAACACCTGAGGGTAAATTATTTGCATTTTTCTTAAGAGGCAATCAGGTGAGGCAAATTCTCCATAAGAGTAAAATACACAAAAAGGAAAATCAGGTGGAAGAAATTGAGGTGGACAATCTGGCAATGCCTAAGGGAATACTGGCCAACCTGAGGTCATCTTGAGGACCAGAAAGGAAAGGTCCAGGATAGGGTTGTTTAAAAGGGAAAAAGAAAGCAAGGAAAGAGGTCAGAGATTTCAGAGGCAAGTAGTGATGCTAGGTCAATATCTGGCCTGAGACCCTCAGGTTTCTTCTCGGAGGAAAGCAAATTAATGAGGAATGTGTTGAGGGCTGATAGAAGCTAGGTAATAGGGAAATCTGGGAAAGAGTACCATCTGTGCCCTGAGCTCTCCCAGCTTTAAGCCATAAACTAGTTCTCTCCCTGAGGTTTCTTGTGTCTTCATGAATGGGGTAAAAGTGAGCAGGGCCACTGATCTGGTTGAAAGAGAAAAGCTGATATGGGAGAAGAGGCAGTGTTTAAGGAAGGTGTGAGCTATTTTCAAGTGAGGAAGGCGTGTTTGAAGAAAGCGGCACTACGGAGGTAATTAAAGCTGTGGCTGAAACCACAGAACTGGCTTGTTCTTAACTGCTATTTGTGGCTAATCACTTCCAAATAACAAATGAATAGCATGGTAAATGTTAGCAGGATAATTTTCTATTAATCAAGAGTAATGAGTGAGTAGACTAATTCCCTCTTCAAACATCCCTAATTTTAATGCTGTTGCATGTTGCTGCTTCAGATTGATTACACGGTGATTTAGAGGGAGTGAGGCAGTAGGGAGACTCAAAATAAAAGGCAGGATATTATTATTTCCTGCTACATTCATGTAGAACATCAACTTCTCCCACATGAATTCTTGTAGAAGGTGAAGATTGCCTTTTCAAAAATAATTTCAAGTCTGAGAGACAATGTCCAAATTTAAGAGAGAGAGAAGGTAGGAAAGAGGAAGAGGAAGAAGAAAGAGGAGAAAAACAGGACGAGGAGAAGGAAGGAAGGGGAAGGAAAGGAAAGAAAGAAGGACAGGGAAGGGAAGGGAAGGAAGGGAGGAAGGGAGGGGAGGGGAGTCCTGATTGCAAATGAAGCCATAAAACCTAAATGCATAAAATCTGCAATAAGTCTACATGTTTTGTCAACTTTATTCACTGTGAGGCTTTAAGCAATTTCCTTAAATGCAATGATATTTTATCTATACACTCATGGTAAAGAAGTACGCAGAGTTTAGATATTTCACATTACATTAGGCTGACCTCAACAGTCTGGGTCTTGGTCTTCCACAGCACCAGACTTTTCAAGAAATTAGATGTAGTCCCAGCCCTTCCAAAAGTATTTAATATAATTGGAAAATCAGCCACCTATGAAACAAGAGCAGTAAGTGAGAGTCTATGTAATTCTTCTGCAAAAGATTAGAAAGAAATTTCTTTATTCTTGTAGTAGTTCAAACAAAGAGGGACTATTGTGGCAACAAGGGTTTCATAGTTCATATGAAGTTGCTGGATGTAATTTGAAGACATGGTGCGATGTCTTTTTCACTCGTCCACAGCTACTCTCCACCCTTCTCCATTCACCTCTTTGCTGCAGGAGACTGATGTTTGGATTACATTAATGGGTCCTTTTGCCTTCCAGTCTCTTATGGCCTTTGGTCATTGAAGAGCCCCTGAAGGAGATAGGAGGAGGAGTGTGTAGTTGGTATTTATCTTCTGTCTCCTTGTAAGCTTGCACTTAGGAGCTTTCCAACCTCAGAACAATTTCTATTATGGTCCCTCTGCACTCTCTCCTGTTTGGTTTTAGTACCACTTCCCTTCTCCCCTTTTATTTAACCAAGAAATGACAGAGGTAGAGCAGAGTGTTACTATCTCCTATGATTTCCCTAAACACTGCCCACATGTTTGTAAACAGTCTCTTTATTAAATTCTTCTTGAATTATTCTAATTTGAGAGTGTCTTCTGTTTCCTGCGTTACTAGCTAACACACATAGACTTGGAGATAAGAAGGTGGGCATATCAGAGAGTCGGAGTAACCTTGAAGATGCATTTAATTTACAGCAAGTTTGCCTAATACAGGGTACTAGCTCATTGCTCTACAGGAAGTTAATGACTAAGTTGAAGGAAAATAAGATTTTAAAATAATCTAATACAAGATCATAAAGATGTTTCAAATGCAGAGTTTTGCTAGATTTGAACCAACTTCCTTTCTTTTATCAAAGCAATATGAAAAGCTAAGATATCCCTGTTCAGAACATTTGGTTTGAAAGGAGATGAAGGTAGCAAGAGGATTAGAAGAGACTCTGAAGACTGCCTTTAAAAGAACCATGTTTATTTTAAAATTTCTGTCCTCTTATAAATCATCATAATCGAGCTGCAGGTGTGAAGCATCAGCCTACTCCTCTGCAATCCTGGGGATTATGAGAATCAGGCAGAAGTTTCCATGGATGAAATTCATGCCATGGCTTTCCTTTCAGGAATGCATATTTTGGGATGAAAGTGAAGGAACTGTTATGAGGTTTTGATTATTGTTATTATTATTAGTAGTAGTATCATTTTTTTGAGACGGAGTCTCACTCTGTCGCCCAGGTTGGAGTGCAGTGGCACAATCTCGGCCCTCTGCAACCTCTGCCTGCTGGGTTCAAGCAATTCTCCTGCCTCAGCCTCCCTGGTAGCTGGGACCACAGGGGTGTGCCACCATGCCCAGCTAATTTTTTATATTTTTAGTAGAGACAGGGTTTCACCATGCTAGCCAGGCTGGAGTTGAACTCCTGACTTCGTGATAGGCCCGCCTCGGCCTCCCAAAGTGCTGGGATTACAGACATGAGCCACCGTGCCCAGCTTTGATTATTCATTTATTTGATCATTTTTCCATTCATGTATTTATGTATTCATTTGTGTATTTAAGGAAACAAATCTAAATGCAGTTGCATGTGGCAATGACATCTAGCCTCTCAAATGTCAGGAGGGTGATATATATGTGTGTAGGAATAGACAAGACCAGTGTTTTCTTCCAGCAGTTCTAACCAATTTGTTTAGCTTGATGGACAGATGCAGGGTGCAGGGCTCTTTATCATACTTAAGAGAAACATTGACAAGCTGAACCATAAAAAGGAGAGCCCGGTGGATAGCTAAACAGTAGGAAAACATGTAAGGTTAACTGCATTTAGGAAAACCAGCAAGACCAGGCGTGGCACCTCTATCATTCTTTATGTTTACCTGTGCAAGATATTATTTTGAATGAAGTAAATCCCTCAAAAGGAAAGTGTTGACTTTTTTCTCCTGTAAATATTTTCCCCAAGAGTTTTGTGATCTTTGACATACAGATCAAAATATATACCTTTCTTTGAGTCAGTTAGAGCCAGGTTAGAATCCAAGGTTTGAAATATCCTACCTCAAGCAACTTTATTTTCCTCTCTGAAATTAATTTTTCTTACCTGAAAAAAATGGGGTAATAAAACATTTCATTAAGTACTAAGGATTAAATGCAGTAACGTTTATAAAATGCTTGACAAGGCACCCAGTGATAGAGGACAGATGGAACTGTTGCTCTAGTTGCTGTTTAAAACACTATTCATATGCAGCTTCCAAGAATCTGACCACAAGCAATGGTAGCAAGAAGAGACATGAACACAGAAACACAGAAATGATAGCTATTGTAGAATTTCAACCTCCAACCTTTGTGAAGCTTTTCTTCAGTATTCTGTTTCTGCAGGTTCTGGGCACCTATATTGGTGATGAGGAACTTATTACCCATTCATTCAGTCACTGATTAAATTTTTTAGCAGCTTTAGGCATGAAGATTTAACTGAGGTTACAGAGATATAATGGTAGAATGGAAAGTGTAAGTTTTAGAGTCAGTCATAAACTGAGATAAACACTACTATGCCATTCACTAGCTGAGTGACCATAATAAGAAAGAAATATCTCTTGTCTACTTTTTTTAAGGGTAAAATCGCAACCTTTAGTTCACAAATGGATGAGATGAAATATGAACATTTTTAAGTACACCTGTTCAAATATAATGGGTACTTATTTTTAGTTTGCTTCCTTCTTTCTTTCCTTCTGTTGAGGCAAAAATCTGCCTGTTTGTATCTCAACCATTTATCCTCCATTCAGCTCTGGATCAATGTGGATTAAATTGAGTTTCACTTTCATGATCAGTTATTCTCTGTTCTTTTATTTGTCTCTCTTTAAAAGTAAATAAACTCTAGGTTCTATTCCATTCCTGCAGGAACATGATTGCTAGGATGCTAAGGGAAAGAGATGCAGTATTTGTGTATGATTAAGGAGTATAAATTGACTTTATATATTATGCAAATATCAAGGCTTGGGAGACAAAGAACCTTCTAAAACATACACTTTTGGTAATGCGTCTCTATGACCTGCATTCCCAGACCAGCAGACATCCCATAAGATGGAAGAGAGTAAGTTTCTTATTCTTACAATAAATCTTTGTTATGTAACTAAAACTCCCTGAAAAACAAGCAATAAGAGAAAACACTACCTGTATTATTACTACCTGCCTCACAAACAGCACAGGCTAATGTTAGTGACACATTTTGTCTGTTTTCATCCTTCATTTGTATACTTGGCCTTGCAAATAGAGTACTTTGAATAAACATTATAGCCATATTTATGAGTTTTCTTGCTAAGTGCTTCTCTTGGAGATGCATTATCAGGCATTCAACATAAACCACAGAGATAGAGTCATTTATCCTTGTTAGGCCAGCAAACAGAGGGAAATTGTTCTTCCCCACCATCCTGGACCCACAAGAGCCTTTATCTAAAACTAAGGCAATTCAGAAAGACCAGTTCCCAGCTGATGAAGTAGGAAGTTATGAAAATTTTTCAAAAATAATTAAAAACCTAGATACTGGCTATTGCAAGGTTGAGAAGAAATGAGCTGCCAAAGAGTTCATAATCACTGGGTGTCTAGGATGGGCCACAGTCTGCCATAGGTAATTCCCATGCATTGTATTCTGTGATGTACAGATCTATCACGTCAGGTCCTATTGTGGGGTGAGTGTTATTATCCCCATTTTGTAGATGAGGGAGCAGAGATCCAAAGATTAAGGAATTTGTCTAAGAACAGTGGATTTGTGGCAGAGTTGGGACTTAACCTCAGATTAGCATAACACAAAGCCCATCTCACTATACCAACTTCTTTCAGTGTTTGGCTGGCAGAAGGAGCAATGTTGCATGGGAGTGAAGACACTCTCTGTGTCTGTATGAAGATATAATTGGAGGATCATTTAAAGTCAGAGAAGGCCTCATCTGGGTGTTTTGAGAACTCTTTATGGAAAAAAAAAGTTAAACCAAAGGTAGAAAATCCTCTGCTAACTCACTGAGAGTTTATAGGAAGAAGTGAAAAGTGCCTAGATGTGCCGCTACAACCATGAGTCAGGGGAAAAACAACCTGTTAGGGGAGAGTAGATGGAAAGGGAGGATGGTGACTGGGAGTGACAAAAGAAAATATTGAAGAAAATAAGAGGAAAAAAACCTATTTTCCCCCTAGTCCTTCTGTGTGTCATATATTGCTTATTCTTGTCCTAGAAGTATGTAAACAATGTTTTATCTTTGTGAAACAAAAGGTGTTTGAAATGCCTCTGAACATTTAAAGTACTTTAAAGATCACCTACAGCATTGTCCACATCTATTAAGAAAGGAGGATGGAGGGAAAGAAGAAGGAAGGGAAGGAGGGAAGAAGGAGGGAAAAAGAACAGAAGGAAAAAAAGGAGGGAAGGATCTAATAACATCCCCAAAGATTGTCTGTTATCAGGATAATGGCTGAAATATCTTGTAAAAGCGAACATAAACCCAAGCCTAGACCCACAGTCCTTCTGCAATGACTAAATCAGGCTTTGATGAACACCTATGGGAAGTAGCATTTTAGATCTGTTTTATCTCTCTTGTGACATTAGGGCCATTTGTTTCCAGTTGCCTATTGTTCATGTCTACAGTCAGGACCTAATCATGTCTGAATAGAAGAGAAAAATCCAAAATTCTCTCTGATCATAATACATTGTCAGTAAAGCTGAATATAACTCCAATATTCAAAGAAAAGCAGCCAATAAATCTGTGCAAACTCTTGGTTAAAAAAAATCTTATGGTTGTTATTTTTCCCCTTAAACAAGTACAGTTTGATTTCTATAATGACACTAATTCTAATGTATTTCGTTTCTTAATTCCCTCTATGATTAGTCATCCTTGGAAATAACAACTAGGCAAGTAGCTTGGGATTACATTTCTCATTAGGACATTAATGCATATTGTGAACTGTGATAGCCTAATGCTTCCATCTCCAGGTAACACACTTAGCTCACACAGCTCTCTTTATGGTCTGGCAAGTCTGTTCACTGGTGTTTGTGTTGCTACTAACTCTCTGATCTGCAGCACTATTTCAGTTGTACTTGGCATTTGGATAGCTGCCTTGAGACCTAGACTGCCTCATTAGTAATTTTTTTATTCAAACATATTCTATAGCAACTACCATTTAACATTACGGTGAATTTTTTCATTTTTTAATGCTCATAATCCATTATACTCGCTATAAATTGGCAGGGATAAGGGTCAACTAATATTTTTCCGACGTTGGTAATTTCCCCTTATTCTTAACTCACTTAAATCACTGTGATTCATCACATGGTTCAGAAAAACAAAATGAATACAAACTTTAGATGTGTGTGTGTGTGTGTGTGTTTGTGTGTGTGTGTGTGTGTGTGTGTGTTGACAGACCAAATGTGTATTTCTGTCATGGCTTTGTAAAGATCCCTTTATGTGTTTACACCGTGACATAATATCCAAGTTTCTCCATTCTGGGGTTAAAACTAAACTCTTTTGACTTGATTAACCCATTATATACTGCCTAATTTATTGTATAACTTTAGGCAATTTTAAGATACTTCTCTGAAAGGCTATTGTTATTACTGTGCTGGATTATTGAGAAGTATATGAGTCAGCAGAATTAATGCTAGCTGCTTCAGTAACAAACGCTAAAATTTCATGGCTTGACCGAATAAAACTTTATTATTTCTTGCTTTCATAAAGGCCAATATAAATGTCCTATATTGGACAGTTCTTCTTGGCAGCTACCCTTTAAAGCAGTGACTCTGCGACCTGGGCTCCTTTTGTCTATTCTATAAGTTGTGAGCTCCCGTAAGTCCTTGGAGTTCTTCAAGGATTCTCTTCATCTGTCGAGCCAGTGATTCCGTATGAGAGATTTTGTGAGAGGTGTTTAGAGCTCATAATTGGAAAAACCATATGTCATTTCCCCTGATATTTCTTAGCCCACACCTGATTCACATTGTCTCACCATCTATAAGGCAGCTTCCAAAGGTAGTTTGGCTATATGCCCAAAAAGAAATGAAAAAGTGTAGAGGGCAAAGAGTAGCGTCTCCATTATGCTCTACCAATACACAGCATGTATTTAGCAGCACCCAAGGAAGACATCCCAAAGTTCCATCCAGGCACTGCATCCAGCAGGACTGCTGGGTAATGAGACACTTTCTCCACCTCACTAGAAGTGGCTCTTCTTGGTCTTCTACCTATGACTTAAAGAGACAAGCTACTTCCTTCCCCACCGCCCCATCCCCCACCGGCCACAAAAGCTCATATGTAATGGCAGATCAGGGTCAGGATAACCACAGTGATACTACCACTTAGAAAACTGAAGAAAGAAGCACAGATAATTCACTCACTTGCTTTGACATCTTGTGTTTTCACATGGTCTTCCTTCTGTACCAGTCTGTGTCCAAATTTCCTCTTCTGTATGGACATCAGTCACATTGTATTGAGACCCGCTCTAATGACAGCTTAACTTGATTACCTCTATAATACCTTATCTCCAAATAAGGTACATTCTAAGGTACTGGGGGCCAGGACTTCAAGGCATGAATTTGGGGGGCACACAATCCAACCCATGACACTGTCTTTTGATTACAATTACTTTCATATGCCAATACCCACATTTGTATTTCCTTCTGAAACTTAAGTTTTCAAGCATCCCTTATTTGTTGTTTCCTCAACCCTATGTCTTTCTCTCTCTCAAGACAATGGTGGCTGACATTGAATGGGAAGCCACACTCTTTATTAGGTAACTGTTTTTGGACATTTTATTCATCTGAGTTTTATTTGGCCATTGACACTCAAAACCTTTCAAAATTCCATCTTATTGTTTGTGTCTAGAAGCAGATGGCTTTCCTAGCAATAAAGTCCTTGCTTTCTATCTCTTTGTTTCCTTTCATTTCTGTTTGCAAACCAGCCAGGGTTTTCCTGAGTTCATCTCTTTCTTGTAATATTGCAATACCTTGTCAAAGCAGCCAGTAGTATCCAATACACGCTAACTGTTGATTCTTCTAATTATTTCCACTAGAGCTGCTGGCTCAGCAAGCACGTGGCTTGCCTTCAACACAATCACAAGTGATAGTTATACAAAATGTTTACCGCTGAATAATATGAGTTCTATCTTATCAGACTTCAATATCAATTTCCTTGCTGCTTATCATCCAACCTATAAGGCAACTACCACATATTTAATTTTTGCATTTTAGCAGCACTCTTTTTCTAGTTAAGCAGTTGCTATATTAGTCGAGTTTAATAATACTCACTGCTACAAAATAGCAATGACATCTAAGTTCTTAGCATTACTGAACTTTACTGCTCATGAAAGTTCATCAGTTAATATCAATCATCACCATCAGCTTTCCTGAGTAGCTCTCCTCCATAGAATCCAGGCTCCAGTCATCCAGTAGTTACCACGGGTCTCAGAATCCTTTCCTGGATTCTCTCTGCATCCAGCCAGCCAATGAGAAGGGTGGGAGGCAGGGGCATGTGGAAGTTACCAAGGACAAGCTCTGAAAATGGCATATGTTACTCCCACCCACATTTCATTGACCATACTTAGTTCCATGGTCCTGCCTAACTTGAAGAGGCTGGAAAATATTTTTCTCTTTAAAGGAATGATTTGGTGAGTTCATAATTCTAAGACAAAGGAGAATCAAATAAAATAACATGTGTAGAACCCTTGACACACACAGGAGGCATTCAATAAATATTGGTTACCAGTAGAGAAGATATTTTATGCACTGACTGGTCTCAATAAAGGCCTGAATACTCTCTATTACATATCAGCATGGTTTAACCAAATATATCATTAGAAATAGGGTGACATTTTCACTTATTGAAATTCTGACAGCTCACAAATCCTAAAATACAGGATCCACTGTGAAAAGCAAAGAAGTGAATTGCATTCACTTTTGCATGCATACAGATTTGCATGCAGTCACACACATATACATGTACTCTAAGAGACCAGCTAATAAATTACTACAATTTTCTTTCAGTGTGTTTTAAGAAACCTTTCTCAATATATCTTTGGTTAACTGTGTAATTCTGCTTTCCATTTAGACTAGAGAAAGGGTAGATGTAATGTCTATGAAATAGCTTTCTATTGTCATCAGAATAAGGAACACTTAACTATACAGAGATGAAAACATTTCCTTTTTCTCCCTGTTCTGGAATATCAGTGAGAAGTATAGGCTGTCACTGAAAATTTCTCCCTCTGCCTGGATCTACATAGGCTGTGTCCATGTAAGATTCTGTGGGCTTCTTGTGTACTGAGTGTGTGTATGAGAAAGAAAAGTTTATCTCTAGAACAAATACTATCTGATCTTTACAGAATTAGGTAGAGGAAAGAATGCCAACCAAATGCAATAATAATGTTAATGAAGCTAATAGCTGGGGAGAAATTTCTGGGAATGTCAATCATGAGGAAAAATGTCAGAAAAAGACATTAATGTCCCCTTATAGAAGAAGGCTCAGATGGAATTGACATTTGGAACAGCTAGTAAAGGGCAGACTTTTCCACAATATTGTCCCATTTAAATCAAATACACTGTCGACAGACAAGGTCCCCCAAAACAGTCAATTGAGTTTCTACTGATTTTGGGCCTAAAAATTTTAGGTAAAGTAAATCTCAAGCATGCAGAAATTTGGTGTGAATCTCAGAAAAGAAAAAAAAATCCTGAAGCCAGTTGTTTGTCCCATTATCTTCCTCCTCATGTGATTACAAGAACATATTTCTTCTCCTTTTTTAGAAGCAACGCTTTTGATTCCAGTCTTTTTGTTTTCATCTGGTTCACTTTATCTCCTTCGAGTCAAGGTATTCACAAGTCTAAGGACTATTTTCATAATTTTAGTACAGTTAAGACTACATTTGCCATAAAGGTAGTATCTTGAGAGATACAAAAAGGACTTCAAATATTCAGAAACTTAGTTGCACACTAAAAATGTTCAACTTAGTTTTTTTGTTCACTTAAGTGAACAAACATCTTGAATATCATTTGAGAGCAGTAAAATTCAGGACATCAGAGAAGGAGTACAACTAAAAGAAGAGAAAGGGTCATGGCCTCATAAGTCAAAATACTAATTCATAAGGGATCAAAAGAACTAAATTACAGAAAAGAGAAGGAAATACATGGGAATACTTTTAAAGACATGAGGTATGGATTACAGTTAAGCCAAACTTAAGCTAAAGGTATCAAAGATGAGATTGATGGGAACAGATGGATCTTAGAGGCATCACATTAAGGAATTAAAAAAAATTTACAGGCCAGGTGCGGTGGCTCACGCCTGTAATCCCAGCACTTTGGGAGGCCGAGGCAGGCGGATCGCGAGGTCAGAAGATCGAGACCATCCTGGCTAACATAGTGAAACCCCATCTCTACTAAAAATACAAAAAATTAGCCGGGCGTGGTGGCGGGTGCCTATAGTCCCAGCTACTCGGGAGGCTGAGGCAGGAGAATGGTGTGAAACCCGGGAGGCGGAGCTTGCAGTGAGCCGAGATTGTGCCACTGCACTCTAGCCTGGGCGACAGAGCGAGACTCCGTCTCAAAAAAAAAAAAAAAAAAAAAAAAAAATTTACAACTTCCACTGAGGCCATGGGAAGGAGAGTGGTACATAGAAAATTGCCGCTAGGACAGATGAACTTACTATGCAGTTTTGTCTTTATTTTGGATTCTCAACCATGGCACTACTGGCATTTTGGGCCAGATAATTTGTTTTAGGGGCCTCACCTGTGCATTGTGGGTTGTTTAACAGCACTCCTGGCTTCTACCTATTATATGCCAGTAGCACCTCCCCAGTTGCAACAACCAAAAATGTCTCCAGATGTTGCCGAATGCACTCTGGGGAGGCAAAATTTCCCCTGGTTGAGAAACACTTGTTTAGAGGAATTTTATTCAGAAAGTGGGAATGGCTGGACAATTCCTTTTCCTTTCCTCAAAGCTGTTCAATATTTGAATCTTCCATGAACTCTCTTTTGGGCAAACAAGTTTTCTTTATTTGATTTGCTATGGCCACTCGGAATTTATTTATGATTTTCATCTCCATCTTCTAATGCCTTTTTCACGTTTAGTTTTGTTTTCAAAATTACCCCACATTCTCTGTACCAGTCATCATTTTAGATGATAGCCTCCTCCTGGCCATAACTCTTCTGTATCATTTGTTTGTTACACCTTACGGGCCTTTTAGTCTTTCTCTACACAGTAATAGCCAAATCAATACTATGTATACCTGAACATTCCAAGTGTGTCTAGTCCAATATAGAAACTCTTAGATATCTTGGTAGAAACACTGATCAAGTCCTAGTCACAGATGCTTTTCTTCCTATTTATCTGTATATTTCTATTTGGATTCAAAGAGCATCATACAGTCTGTTCTGTTACAATGTGTTTCCTTAAAGTAAAACATTTCATACTGGTTGGCAAATAGGGATGTAATGTCAAACAATGTACAAGTCATGTTGGTCCATTTTTTCCCCAGCACTTTAATAGTTGGCCCCATTAAGTAACAGTAATTGAATTCAAAGTACATGAGCATAGTGGAATACAGCAGTCAGCTGAGGATTGTAATACTGTACACTATGACTTTTCACTCTATGTACTTCATCTTGCCTCAGTTTGGCTTCATGCTCTGTCTTAAAGTTTTAATTATATGTTTTGCCTCATCTCTGTGCACTTTGTCCTTGAACTCATAAGTTTCAACCTTTCCTTACACAGGCTTCTATCAATAAATATTCATCCCCTAGCCCCTTTATTTTTATAGGTAAAATCTTCTATGTACTGTAGTATTCCTTCATTTATTTGTAATTTAACATTTAACATTCCTTTTAAACCATGCTAGTATTTTCATCATCATTATTGTTTATTCATATACTTCTCTGATTACAAAGTTACACAGGTTATGAGTGAGCTGCTTGATCCCAAATTTTTCCTTAAGGCTTGTGATAGTGCTTCATTATATAGAAATAGAGGAAATATTTTCAGGAATGTACGTATTGGTTTTTAACAGAAACACCTGAACTTGAAAAATGATTTCATCCAACTTTCATTTTTCACCCATTTTGTAAATACAAAAACTGAGACCCATGGGTGATGATCGTGGTACAAGTTGTTTCTTGCTTGATTCTGGCCATGACACAGCAGCATTTTGTATGCTGCTACAGTATATTTCCCAAGTTTAGATTTGCTGCTATAACTATCCTTCTTTCTTTTTTCTTTTATTTTGGCTTATTACCTTGTAAAAGAGTTCTGATACATTAGTAGCTTTTATTGAAAGCCACCTCCAATCTGTTTTGGAAAATAGGCAATATATAAATAGTAAATAAATAATGAACTGAGATGCAGAGAAGTTTTACAGCTTGTTGGAAAGAGAGCTGGGACTGGAGCCTAACTTCCAATTCCCAGCCCAATATACTCTTTATAATATCCTGTCTCTCCCATGCATCCGTGAGTTTCCCATTTTATATCATCATGGCCTTGAAGACTCAATAAGGAATCACCAAGGTGATGCCAGACTTACTTCCAAATGTTTCTTTAATTTACATGTCTAGGTATGCCAAAGGTTAAGATCAGAGATATTCTGTTACTATCTAATGTGAATACAGTATTATTAGCTAACCAATCGTATAGTCAAATTAGTTTTTTGTTTGTTTGTTTGTTTGTTTAGAGTATTGGGTATACACAGCCCACAATCTCTTCAACTCTGATAAGGGAAATATCTTATCATTTACTCTTTGAAAGTTCACATAAAAATATAAAAATGAAAAGTTTCATGTGGGTTTTATTACCACCAAAATCTAATTGGCCCAAGAAAAGGAAGCATATACAAACATTTTATAGATTGGTCAACAGTTTCTCCCCACCAACTTCTTCTCATATGTTCATTTTTATTTTTTTGTATTCCTTTGGAAAATATTTGACACACACACACACAAATGAAGGATTCAGAAACAGCATTTTTTTTAAAATTGAGAGCACCAGTGAAAGATTAAAGTGTGATATCAGAGTTTAAGAAAATAAATTTAATAAGGGGAAAATATTACAGTTTGTCCTGAGCCAAGTTAAACATAAAAAACTATAGAAGGAAAATGACAAAAAAAAATGGTTTGACTTATAACAAGTTTTACAAATGTGATTCTCAGGCAGAGCACGGCCTACAGGTAGGCTTTGTTTGCTGGGCATACAGTTGGCCCACAAGGAGATTGTATAAATCTAAACATCTTGCTGACATTACAAAACTGGAAGATTTTACACAATCATCTAGATTTCTGACTGCTCCTAAAAATTGGGAAAACTGCACAAAAGGCCTCTGTTTGAGCATGGTAAGCATTGGCTAGAACTGAGTTGCAGGGGACACCTTCTTGAAAGAGCATGTGTTCCAGCTTTGTTCCCATCTCCATCACTGATTTTTGCTCCTGGACACTGAGCCTGGTCATGATTGCTATGGTAATAATGTCACCTGTCTCATTCCCGTTGTATTTGCATATCTTAACCTAGTAATGGAGCCTTCTAAGCTTTATTAGAGATAAACTTTCTTAGTGTCTCACTTTTTCCACCTACTTAATGTGTCAAATGTTAACCTATAATTATACCTGGAAGTCCAGCTTTCAGAGATGAAACCCAAAGAGTCAAGATTTACTCTGGTTCACAAAGGCTTTTAAAACTCTTACCTTCTATTTCCACACACCTTGTTGCTTTCCTTTGATAAATCTTTTGCTGGCCCGGAACTGAAACTCACAGCACAGCACAGCACAGCACAAGCAGGGCTATAAATTTTTACTCAAGTGATGGGCTTCCTTTGAACCTGTCCTGACGTCGTCATTACCAGCTCCAATTCCACATTCTGGCTTTCATTTCTTGGTACAGTGGTAAAATTTGAGGCTTGTCTCACAAAGTTACCACTAAAAAGAAAGGAAAAAAAGGTATGGATGATAATTTTAATAAGGCATGGAAGATAAATTGCTTTTGAAAAAAGAATTTTAGAAAGCTTCTTAATAATTTATGGTTAACTTCCAAATTGACTTTCAGTGTTAATTATAAGACTGTACTTGCAGTTTTGCAGTTTTGGTTACTCAAGGCACTTTCTCTGATTACCTTTGATTCTCAAAACTCTTCACATTGCTGCCATTACCATCTTTATTTCAGGTCACAAAGGTAATTTATTACTTCATTTTCTTTTATTAAAAAATCATCTTGCTGGGTTCCACCCTGACTCCCCTTGGAACCTACAAATTATTTCATGAGCTGTTGGTGAATTCATTGATTTATTGCTGTTTTGGCCATTGGTCCCTAACATTTTCTTAGAAATTGTGCTTGTTTCTTAACTCTTTAGTATAGAAATTTTCAAAAGCACACAAAAGTAGAGGGAATAATATAGTAAATCCCTGTGTGCCTATCATCTAGCTTCAACAGTTAGCAACATATAACCAATCTGATTTTGACCCTCTTAGATGACATATTGTGTAATTGTATTTATCATACAGATATGTAATTTTATTTGTATTTCTGAGACCATGACTCCTATTAATGACACATTATCATAACTAAAAAAATAACTTATTAATCTAATTAACACTATTTGTTAATGTTGACAACATTATTATTACTAACTTTACTGGAATGGATTTCAACTATTATCCAAACTTTGTTCAAATTTCACCAATTATCCTGTGAATGACTTTTTATACTAATTTTCATTGTTTATTTTGCTCTGTCTTGGCCCCTCCCCGCTTTCCTTTTCTTTCTTTTTTATTTTTGCAAATTATATGTGGAAGAACCTGAGTTCTACAGATTTTTTTTTTCAGAAAATCCTTCAGAATTTCCTACATCCTAGACTTGGCTGATTACATTCCAGTGGCGGTCTTAATGAGTTTGTCTATCCTCTGCGTTTTCTATAAATTATTAATTTAATCAAGTGGCTTGGTCAGACAAAAAGACTTCGATTTTTTCATTGAGACTATTTCGTAGGTTGTGTGGATACTACCTATTTCATCATATTGGTAGAAACAATGTCTGGGTGTTTCTCCTTTTTATAATGTTAAGGGTGAGCATCACCTTCAGATGTTATCAATCTAATCTCTCCATTACAAAGTTTGCCTTTGACTTTTACCTAAAAAGCTTTTGGCATGTTTCTTCCAGAGGCTGTGGAAAACAGGATTATAACAGAGAAATAAAACCCCCCAAACAGACAGAATACTGAACCTTCTGTTCAGCTCTGGAATTACTTTGGTATTAGGGACTCATCATCCTCTGTTGAAATTTTCTCTCTTGTTATCTTCCTGTAGTATCTAGTTTTGCACCTCATTTCTTCCAAAGCTCCTCTGCACAATCAGCTGTGTTGGGGACAGGCTGCTAGGTCAGAACCTGACTCTGTTTCTGCCCCTGAAGCCACTCAGCATAAGAAAGAACTTGCTATTTTCTAGGCTGCCTTACCAAGTCCTGAGAAGGTCAGCAGCATCTCCTGACCTTGCAGTCCAGAAAGTGGGATAAAAAACAGTAATCCTGTGAAATAGTTGTGTAGATATTTTCATCCCCTTTTGGCAAATAAAAAATGTATATAATGCAAAGAAAGTCAAAGGGGCTTTGAAAAAGACATACAGCAAGATAGGGAAGGAGTTGAAATGTATTCTGCCTGGGGTAACCCTTCAAAGGGAGGCAATTCTAAATTTAATGGATAGAGAAGATTCATTCACTCTTGGGGAAATGGGCAATATCCAGCTGAGTTAATAACTTGAAGATTTTTTAGAAATCATTATTATCATCATTATTGTTTTTGTTGATATTTAGGATTGTAGCATTTTTTTCTCTTTAATTCCTGCATCCCCTTCATCTTCCCAAGAGGAAGAGATTTGTAATAGATTTCCTGTATGGCTCTGCCTTGAATAAAAAATAGACACATAAGGGCTAAATTTGCCTGGTCTCCTTCCTCCTCCTGCCATAGTTCTTGTCACCATCACTGTCATCACCATCATCAGTTAATGACTTCTTTTATTAATCCACTCAGCAATTGTTTAAGGGTCTGCTATGTACCAAGCATGAGAATTAATGGTGAAAAAAAACTTGGCATGCTATCTACTGTCACAGAGCTTACAGTCTGTTAGGGTGACCAGCAATAATTAAATATGCAAATGAATGTGAAATTACATTATAAACCATGCCATGAAGAAAAGGCACATGGTGCATAATGGGAAGGCCCACTCCGACCTGTACCATTAAGAAAGGCTCCTCCAGGAAGTGACATCTGAGCTGAAGGCTCAAAGACGAGCAAAGCCGGCTTGACAGAGAGGAGGTGAATGGCATCCAAGTGTGAGCAATAGTATGTGCAAAGACCCTGTGGCAGGAAGGATAGTGGCTCATTAATGGAACTGAAACAGGGAATGAAGAATTGGTGTATTTCTATAATGATAGAAGACTATGTAAAAGGCTTGCTAAAACTGAAAAAAAATTACTAATGTTAAAGGGAAGCCAAGAAAGAAGTATGCATCATCGGTGTGATAAAAACAACTAGAGAAGCAATATAAAGAACTACTAAAAACATAGTGGCAACTGAGATCACCCTCAATGAATATCAGCCAAGAGATTAATTAATTGGACATCAGACAAAAGGCCACGTAGGAATTTTATGGAAACCTCTCTCTTTGTTGAGAACATCTGCTTTAGACAAATGGAAAGATTCATTCAATCAATAACAAATAAAAGTAGAAAAGATGATCTTATTCAGGTAAGGGAGAGCTCATTACAAGAAATATCACTGATGTTAATTTGAATCTAGTGAGGAAAATAGCATTCCGTGTTCTGCGCCCTTCTAAATTTTCTACAGTGAAAATTCCATTTGTACATATAAATTATATTTGTATAACACATTGGAGTAAACAGAGAAGGCTGTTACTGGGTAAAGATCAACCCCAGAGGGTTTAGGCTTCTCGGGCCATCCTGGTGGCTGAGGGGTTCAACATTTTAGCACAAATTTAAAACATCTGTGGCATCCCAATTGAGCAGCTGTGCTCAGCAATATTGGAATAGAGAGGAGGAGATGATAACCTGGGCTAGTTACGTGGTTCAGAGGGGATGGTTACTTGGGCTAGTTCTGTGGTTCTCAAACAATATTTCAATAGGCCTTTTGCAAGAACACTCAGGAGTTGCAATCATGAGGCTGAATTTCTTGGTCCTCTGACCTCAATATAAGTAACATTCTTATCATCTGTTTTATATATTGAGCATCAATGTCAGATTTTATTTGAAAAGAAGGATTCTATTAAAAAATATGTGTGAAATCCACCGGCCTTTTTATAGAGAAAGCTTAGGTCTGGGACTGGGATGGAGGAGGTTTGACTGCTTCTCTTAACTTGTACTAAATAAGTAGAGAAGTTTGGTAAGTCACTTACTCTGGGGTTTGGGTTTCTTCAGCAGTCTTGGGAAGATATGCATATCTGTCCTGTACATCTTACAGGGATGTTGTGAGGACCTGGAAGTGTGACAGTTTGAAAGTGTTTTGCACAACACAAATGCAAGACTTTTTTTTTCTCTCTTTTAGGTGATAAACATTACTTACAATAGAGGTTTGTGGGGAATAAAAATCACTTAGCTATCCCTAGAGAGAGAAAGCACCATCAGGGGAGAAGCTGACATTAGAAATTTTAAAAATAATAGCAGAAAACAACTTCCTTTGTGAGTTTGGCACACTGTAGGGACTAAACACACACTTCCAAGGAAATCTGAGTGATGGGCTGAAATACAGATGGTCCCCAACTTACAGCAGTTTGATTTATTATTTTGATTTTATGAGGATGCAAAAATGATAAACATTCAGTAGAAATTGTACTTTGAATTTTAAATTATGATATTTTCCCAGGCTAGAAATATGCAGTATTACACTCTTGTGATGCTGGACAGTGGTGGCGAGCCCTGGCTCCCAGTCAGCCACGTGATCGGGAGGGTAAACAACTGATACTCTACAGTGCATTGTGTTGCCAGATGATTTTTCCCAGCTGTAGGATAACGCAAGTCTCGTGAGCACATTTAAGGTAGGCTAGGCTAAGCTATGATGCTGGGTAGACTAGGTGTATTAAATGCATTCTTGACTTAAGGTATTTTCAATGTAAGATGGGTTTATTGGTATTAATCCTAGCATATGTCCAGGACCATCTGTAGGTCTCTAGGGACCTAAGGACAAGATAAGCATTTCTCATCAACATAGTGCGGCAGGTTCTGCTTGTGGGGACATCAGTGAGGTGATCTGCATCCCTGATTCTGATGTGTTTGAGAGATGCTTCCTATGATTGCTGGTATGTGCAAAGCCTGGGAGGAGCCACAGTAGGAGCTTCCTTTCCTGTGGACTGTTAGAAATCTGGACATTTCAATAGTATATCACATAATAGTACTTGTGTGGGCTCTCTGAGTTTTTCTGTTCAATGTAATTCTCTTTAAATTGGGCAGCCCAAAGAGTCATGCCACTTTATCTGCAGTTCTCAAGGTATTTCAGAATTCATCAGAAAGATTTAATCAATTTATCTTCCACAATTGACCTCCATGACTGGTCTATTTTAAGTACAGTGGAAAAAACAAGTTATTTAGGTATCTCATTACCCAGATAAAAATCCTTTATTTGCCTCTTAATGGTTCTATGAATTTAACTATCTATGTTACCTACCTCTATTTGTATTCTCCTCTGTAAATAGGTAGAAATAATAACAATTGTTATTGTAATAAAATAGGTAAAAATCATCCTCATCATACTCATCATTATCATTACCTACCTAATAGAATTATTGCAAAGATTAAAGGAGATGAGATACTCACTTTTGATTATAAAGGGCCATATAATGTTAAAAACTAATGCTGTTCCCAGTTAGTATTGTCCTGTATTTTGAGAGGTGCTCAAATGCAATCTGAGAGTATGTATTGTTCTTTTGTTTAGATTTCCCTTAAAAATTATTTTAGTGAGTGAGTGTGATTATATCTTGACTATCTCATTAGGAGAAAAGGAATTCACATGCTGACATAAGTAGGTAAGGGATATGGAAATTATATCTTAATAACAAAGGAACACCTAGAGATGTATTTTATAATAGGAATGAGCATTGGGAATGCCTTTTGTTCTTCTAAATTAAGGAATACCTTGGAGCAGATCTTTGTCTTTCTTCTATTTAGTACCCAAACTTCCTTTGGGAAATGTCTTCTGCTGGGACTGCCAACCATAGTTCTGAAAGTCTCTGATGACTTTGGGATCCAGCCCTAGTCTAGCACAGGCCATGCCCAGACCTTAGGGACTGATCCCAGGTTGAGCATGAGTTTTACGTTAGTAATCAGTATTTTCCCAAGTGTTTTTCATTTAGAGCTTAAGAAAAGGCACTGTACCTTTTGATTTTGTTTATGGGAGTATATTAATAGGGGACTGGAAGAAGGAATCTTCCCCACAAGTAGTTGGAATTGAGATAAAGAAAGAAATAGGGTGAAGGTGAGCTCCAAGTTCCTACACTCAGTTGTGCCAGATGCAAAGACCAATAAATTCATTTTTTTTCTATTTTTGATTTGAGCCTGTGTCTTACTGCCAATACTCCTGAATCATCAACCTTTTTTTTTTTTTTTTTTTTTTTGAGATGGAGTCTCACTCTGTCACTCATGCTGTAGTGTAGCGGCATGATCTCGGCTCACTGCAACCTCTGCCTCCTGGGTTCAAGTGATTCTCCTGCCTCAGCCTCCTGAGTAGCTGGGACTACAGGTGTGCACCACCACACCCAGCTAATTTTTTTTTTGTATTTTTAGTAGAGACAGGGTTTCACCATGTTGGTCAGGCTGGTCTCGAATTCCTGACCTCACGTGATCCGCCTGCCTCAGCCTCCCAAAGTGCTGGGATTACAGGCTTGAGCCACCACACCTGGCTAATGGTCAACTTCTTATACATAGTATCTGTATTTGAATGCTGGTGTAGAGGAGAGAAAACTGTCTCTCTACCCTTTGAGGGTTTGATAATTAAGTCTATGAAATAAACTGACAGGTAGACAGATTAACAGGAGAAAAGCCATTTTAATTACATGCATACCCATGGGAGTTCTACTTTGTATGTATATGAGACTCAAAAAAAAGGGTCAGATGATTGAAACTTATAAAGCATCCTGAGCTACAGAAAGGAACAGGGGCTTGGAGATTCCCAGGGCAGGAGGTAGGGCATAGTGACATTAGTAATGGAAGGGTGAGAGGAGAAAATGCATGGTAAAAAAAGGTTTTGTTATGCAGCCAAAATGTCTCCTGAGTAATAAAAATGGTCTCTAAGCGGCCCTCAGAATAGGTGTAGTCTGTGGAAAAGTCTGATTTGTGTCAGACATAGACCTCTAGTCTCTTTTTTTATTTTAATTTAAAAAATGTTTAAAGACTGTGTCTCACTCTGTCACCAAGGGTGAAGTGCAGTAGAGTAATCATAGCTTACTGCAACCTCACACTTCTTTCCTTAAGCAATCCTCCCAACTCAGCCTCCTGAATAGTCTCCTAATAAGTTCATCTTCCCTGGTTAATGAGATTCCCAGGGAGGGAACTCATGACAATTGTATTATTTCTGGAGGACCTTTCTTTAGGCAGATAAGGAAATTTCAGAGGGACCTTCTCTGTGTGTTAGGGGAAAAAGAAGGGCAAGAGACAGGAGGAAAGGAGAAGGTCAGAGAATGTGGTTGTAGGGCTGCTTCTAAGGCCTTCCAATTTCCTTTAGTTCAAAGGACTCAGCATGTCAAAGCACCAGAATTTGGGGTATTGTTTCTGAGCCCCAACAGTAGTATTATATGATTATACAAGTATTTCGTATTGATGTTCTTCAGTATCTTTTACATGTATATATCTATTTTTACTCCAAACATCAGACTTTCCTGCAGGTGTGAATTGGGGCAAGTGAGGGTGGGAGTAGATGTGGGGTTGCCAATAAAGCATAACTAAAAAAGAGAGTCATTATGTAATCGCTTAATGGGTTCTTCCTGACTGCCACACAGACAAAATCAATTCACTGAGACCAAGGCATTGCAGTAAAGACAGAGTTTAATTGATGCCAGGCTGACCACGTGGAAGAGAATTATTACTCAAATCAGTCTCTCTGAAGGCTCAATGGTGAGGGTTTTTATGGACAGTGGTGGGCAGAAAGCTAGGGAATGGGTGCTACTGTTTGATTGGGGATGAAATCATTGGAGTATGGGAAATGGTCATTGTGTGCTGAGTCTGCTTCTGGGCGGGGCCACAGGACTGATTGAGTCCTGAGTCACAAGTCCAAGTAAGATCAGTCTAAAAGACATCTAATAAAACCAATCTTCAGCTCAACAATAGTGATGTTATCTACAGGAACAACTGGGGAAATCACAAATCTTGTGACCTCCGGCCACATGACTCCTGAGCAATAAGAGATTATAGAAACGACACCTACATTTTAGCAGAACCCTCCTATTCTTGTGCCCTTTAATTAGTCTCACAAGGGGGTTTCAGCTCCAGAAGAGGGAGAGGATTAGTTTTAGGAAGGGCGTATTATTGTTGCAAACTTTCTCCTTAGTTCAGCTAAAAGCGGGTTCTTGTCACATGACTAGGAAAGATTAGGCTTACGGGCACATATAAGGGTGAGAAAAAAAATGAAATTTATTGGGTAAAAAGGAAAAGAAAAAATCTCAGTAGAGCCAGAGGGAGTCTTGTTAACAAGCTCCTGCCCCACCAATTGAATCTCAGGCCACGATCTGGAACTGAAGAGGCCCAGGCTCCTCCCCTGCTAAAAGGTACCCATTTCTGGAGGCTCCACCTCATTCCCCCAGTGCTCATGTGGGCATTATTCTGAGAGTATCCATTGGGAGAGGATGGGCTTCATCCGGGACCGGCAGTCCAATTTTCCAGCCTTCAGGCTGTTTTAGGTTTGAAGGTGGGGTTTCGCTGGGGACCCTTGGCTGTTTCCTGTCTCTATCATTATCATCCTTGCTCCAAAGTTAAATTTAAATTCTTCCCAAAGTTAGCTTTGCCTATGCCCAGGAATGACCAAGGGCAGCTTGGAGTTCAGAAGCAAGATGGAGTCAACTATGCCAGATTTTTCTCACTGCCAAAATTTTGCAAAGGCAGTTTAAATCATGTGTTATAAAGTCACTTTTAGGTATATCTGGTAAGAACTTTAATCCAATTTCTACCCAGGAAATAGAGACCTTATTAGTAAAATACCTGTGCTGAGCCATATTAAAGAGTTACATTCCCAACCATCTGATTCTGAAAGTTAGTTTCTTAAGATAATGTTATTATACTTTGAAATAAATAAATACAATTGTAATATGATTCTTTCTTTGAAAAATAGCTAATGTGTCTTTATCATTTTCAACATATTCTTCAGATATTGCTTCAGTTAGGGATGTGTTTGCAGTTCTCATGATTAATTTCCATACGTTTGAATAGGAAGGGATTTGTTAGATGGTATTAAGTAGCTTATAACAATTTCTAGGAAGATTAGGGGATTATATGTGAATGCTACACCGATAGCAAGAACAACTAGGAGAAAAAGGGTTTTAGGGAAAATTCAATGGCCCCCTAGGTTGTGGGTTGGAGTCTGTGATGCTCTGGGTCTGGTGACTAGAACTTTTACCACAGTTGCCATAAGAACCAAGTGCCTATGCCCCTCATTCTTGCAAGCAGAATGCATCTGTGTGGCTGAATAATGCCAGCTTCTCACTTCTTCCTTCCCAACTTTGTGCAAGTGTACCCATGTGGCAGAATTTACGTAGCATCTGCAGGCTTAACTGCAAGCAAGTCTCTATAAAGATTTTGGATTTTCCAGCTCTGTGGTATAGGAAGTCTGCTAGAAAACATTTAGAATAGATGTGGAGTGTGCCAATCCACAGTGTCCCCTGTGTGTTTTATCTGATTTTTGTCTATATCAACCTAACAAAATGATTGTTATGGTTCCTATTTTAAAGACGAGAAGACTAAAGCTCCATGATGGTGGGATAATAGTCTACGAACCAAATCCCATGTTTCCTTCACCTTCCCCTGCTACTTTTTCTGATCACTTCTGAGCTTAAGTGCATGCTCCATTAGTATTTCTTCCCACTGCCATTTCAACATAGACCAGAATAGTTGTCAAAATTGTCACATTTATAAAGACATTTATCATTCACATTAGCCACTGTTTCAAGATTAACATTTCAAGAATGGAATCAACTACTGGGTTAAATCTGTTTCTGCTCTGTGATTTTGGGATTTCCTTAAATGACATGTTCTAGGATTGTATGCCACACACACAAAAAAAGTCTTCATGGTTGTCCCTCGAGTAAACCTAATTTGACATTTTCAACAGGCCTATTGCCAAAATTTTTAATACTAGCTATCCTCCTTAAGAACAAAATGATCATATACATACAGTTAATGTCCTTAGAAAATGTATTGTAAATGTGTACTACGATTTGGTACTGGAAAAAGAACTACATTAAAAAAATAAGGGGAAGGCACATAAGAGAAAGAAAAGGAACTGATTTACATGACTGAAAACCCATTTCTCCTGCATTTGTTCATTTAAATATCCCACCTACAGATGAAATTACCAAGCATTCCCACAGAACTCTCTATAAAAGTGGGAGAATTACTGAAAGATTTGATGGGTAGAAGCATTTCAGCTGGATTCGAACTTTGCATCATTCCCTTGGAATTTAAAAATACCCCATAAAATCAGAAGGAATTAGTAACACTAAGAAGCAAACAAATAAGCAAAGCACCCTAGGACTGATGAGCTGGAATAGATACATCCACAGAGTTTATCAAACCTTATCAATAAAGCTGAAAGAACATATTTTCTTAATTTGAATTTTTAGTTTCTAAGAATAAAAGAAAGATTACTAAAATTTAAATTGAAGAGCTGAATAGAAAACTTCAGCGTAGCTTGAATCTATTAAAATACCATCTGTTGGTAGGAATGAAAAGGAAGAAGGCACCATCATTATTTCAAAAATATGTCAATTGCTATTATAAATGTCAGGGCATCATGACTGCTAAAAGATAACCCGTCCTCAGGAGAAGAGTGAATTTAGGACTCTCGATGGTTTAAAAGTTTATGCCAGGTACATACACAAGGTGGGATGGGGGAAATAAGAGAAGGATTGGAAGCAAGCTCTGCCAATTTAGTCCTAGTTGTTTAATTATCCTGTGTGAGTGTCAATAGTTGTAAACCATGATTTTCAGTGAGTTATGGAATTTTATATTTTATGGTTCATGTGCCCATCCTCTGCCTATTGGCTGTAAACTCAATTACTAACCATTCTTCACACTTAAGAACACACTGAAGTCAGTTTTCTGTTGAGCCAATATCAAATTCTTTGAGTAGCTATGGTTAAACTGCAGTATTAGAGGTGAGCTTGCGAGAGGTATAGGTGTCATATCAGTTTGCACATTGCAACAAAAGCAAGATATAGAGCAAATTCTGAGTGTTCAAACATGCATTGGCAAACTGACATGAAATTATGACTTGTACTCTTGGTCAGAAAATTCCTACTCTCTGCTCTGAGGTACTTTGACAGTTACCTTACATATAAAGCTTTTTCCAAGGTAGATACAGTAAACTCTGATGACAGGATCCACTAACATTGTAATTGAGCCAAGTAGCAGGGTTGTTGAAGGATGCGAGTCCAAGAAGGCTCTGAAACTCAAATGTTGCCCTGATGTTACTGGACTGCAAAGTTTGCTGAGTTCCTAAATTTCTCAAAGGTTGGCAAAGCCCAAGCAATCTTTCTAACCAAATTCTAATTTCTAATATCACTAGACTAATTAAAAAAAAAAAAAACCTCTGGTGTGGATTTTGACAAAGATATATGAAGCCACATTTGAATGTGTTAATTCCTTCTTGGGCTAGTCTATTTCCTAGCTAAATACTCTTGGCGTGCTCTGGAGTATACCTCTCTGATGAAAATTCTTCAGATTTTATCTAACTGACCCTAGAGTGTAGACTAGAGTTGAACAGTGCAAACACATACATTTCACTATTTATACATGAAGACAATACAACACAGATGTATGTCTTCCTTCATGCCATCTCTGGGGCTGTTCCTCTGTGTCCAGAATATTTTCTCTGTTTCTTTCTAAGGCAAATGTAATGGAAATTCACTGTCACCATGAAGGCATCATTCTTTTTTCCCTGTAACCCACAAGAAACTCTTCTTTGGACACCTACCACTGACTACCTTGTATGGTCACTCAACTCTTTCATGTGTTTTCAACTCTTTCATGTGTTTGTATCCTGTTTCTCCAGGTGGAGGTCAAGTATCATTTCTCTATAGCTGTTTATTCATCTACTACAGGACTGCATACCTTGGAGGTACTCAGTAGATATCTGTTAAATAAATGAATAAATGATGACATGAAGGACCCATTAAAGTGGGCTCCAATATGCCTTCTTACTGCTTCCATTTAGGAGAGATGTTGTAATCCTTTTAACTTTGTGATCCAGACTTGTGAGGCTGAAGTCTTACATACTATTTGATTCTGGAAATAATATACTTTGAGGCATTTCTTTTGATGGCTAAAGGCGGGTGTCTTAATGTTCCCCAGCTGCGGCCTGCAGCAAAGACCATCAAGAGAAGGCCTTTAGGGGCAATGCTTTGTGAGTACATCATGAATTTTGTGCTCTAGTTGTCTGCCAATCCCCATTCCAACCCACGCGCGCACTCACACACACACACACTCATGCGCGCACACACACACACACAGCTCTACTATTTACTTTGTTGATTGGCATTTACACAGCAGCAGATGTGCTGTAAATAGACATGCAGCAACAGGGTTGGCATACTAATGGACCCAGAGGTGAGACATCTGGTAAAACAGATGCAACGTGGCAGGGAGATACAGACTGCCCAGAAAGTGCTCATCTCCCAAGATCAGCACCAAGGATCTGACCAATGCCTGGTCGGGCACTGTGCCTTCCAAACAGATGGGGATAGATTTGAGCCAATAAGAATATATGAAGAAAGTGGTCAGATTGCTTGTGAGATAGAGGGGCCTGTGCCAGGAAAGTTGAATCAGCCATTTTCTTTTAAAAGTCTGCTCTCCTTGTCACCTGGCACCACACACTCATCAAACACTGTCAAACAGTTTTCACACAAGTTACACCATAGCAGAGTGAGCCTTTAAATAAATGCCTCACCTTTTTCATGGAGATGACAAGAGGATTAATTAGTTAATGTTAGCAATGCTCCTACAAGATCAGTGGATGAAAGAAAACTCACAAAGTGCATTATCAATAATGGAATGAGGTCACACTCCATAAAAGGCCTGTAAAAAATTCCATTTTCAGTATACAGCAGTCATTTTGTGCTAGAGTCCCACTTTTTATTGAAATATTTAACAAGCATAATGCAACGTAGTTTGTGTTAACTAGCAAAAAAAAAAAAAAAATGCATTCAGGAGAAATGCAGGAGAAAAAGCATCAAATCCACTCATGTTTTACTTCTTTTATGTGGTCTAGAAGTAGGGTCATTTTTTTTTTCCCTTGAAGAACAAGCGTAATTATTCATGTCTCTAATACTTTTGATTCACTGCATCTATTCAACTAGCCATTATAATACAATGAACAAAAAGTAACTGTAAGGGACACTTGAATCTTCAGATATGCAAAAATAAGGTGTTAGATATGCTGTAAAATAAAGTTCTTGAACAAATGTAATTCTCTTATTTTTGGAAATATGTTATCAGAATCAGGCTAACAAAGTATTTCCAAAATGGAATTCTCTAAGGGGGCTTGCATACAATGGGAACAACCACAAGATAAACAGCAATGAACCCGGATAAGAGGAACTTGAAATTAGCATAATTTATTCCACCAAAGAATCTCTTTACTTCTATTTCTAACTTTTTAAATCTCACATTTCTTTCAATACTCCTTGAATTTTGTCCTCCTTTGTGAGACAAAACAGGTCATCTTAGCCTAAAAATCTCTTGCATCCAACTTTTATTACCATATATATATATGGTAATAAAATATATATATACCATATATATGGTGCATATATATATACACATATATATACACCATATATATACGCACCATATATATGGTATATATATACACCATATATATATACCATATATATAACCCCATGTATACACCATATACATACGTACCACATATACGTACCACATATACGTACCACATATACGTACCACATATACGTACCACATATATACACCATATATATGTACCACATATATACACCATATATATGTACCATATATATACCATATATACACCATATATATACCATATATATACACCATATATATACACCATATATATACACCATATATTTATACACCATATATATATATATACACACCATATATATATGGTAATAAAAGTTGGATGCAAGAGAGTTACACACACACACATATATATATATATATATATATATATATATATATATATAAAACCATATTTGCTGTTTTTATTATTACATTTCATTCAGGGTGTGCATACCCTATTTCATCAAAGGAATCATAACCTCTTATAAGACAGTCAGTTACATTGTTAATTATATTAGTTACCCAATTACAGTATATTAGTTTAGTACATCCCTCAGTAAATACCTGTTGATTGATGCTGAAAATACAAAAAAAAGGTAATAATGGATAACATATAGAGAGTACCCTCACTGTGCTAGCCATTTTACTAGTTGCTTTCATGCATTGTCTCCTTCTAGTCATCACAACACTATGTGAGATGGGTTCTACTGTCATCTCAATTTCAAAGATAAAGACAATGAGTCTCAAGCAAGGTCACTAAGATCCCCCAAATGTATTGGTAGGAAAGTGCAGGGCATGGACTTGAATTTAATTCTGGCTGAATCCAGTCATCCACTATACTATATTGCCCCTAAGTTTCTTCCACTCCCTATGAAATCCCTTCCCCCGACAGTGCATCATTAAATGTTCATTAAGGAAACTTTTGCTTCCTAATATCTTACAGGTAAACTCCAACTTCTTAAATTAGGCAAGAAATACAAATAGATGAAGATTCGCTACACTATTTGTTCAGTGACTATTATAAGCTGGATATAGCAGGTCTAAAAGAGAGAAGCAGGCTTGCTCTTTGAATACCCAGAGTCTCATTTATGCACTGAAGCCACCCATGATGATGTCTATCCAAAAGAATTTTCAGTTCCCTCTGCTCCCAACCAGGGATGCTTTGGGGACTAAATAGATATTGCTCACAGAACATAAAGTAATAATATAGTTAATGATAAACCATCCAGGAGCTCTTCTGCTATTATGAGATCATTTAAAAATAACCATCTCTGAGGTCCGAAAACAGTAAATAATGTCAGCCAAATAGCTTTGACATTCAGGTTCCAAGCATTCTAATGTAGAGGGTAATTCAATGCACTCTTATAGCTTGAAATGAAGACTTGCTTTCCTGGTTGACTCTCTATTAATGATAAATTGTTTAATTAGTTAACAAGATAACTGCTGGGGAATAGGAAGTAAAATCACAATGGCATATGTTGGCAGAAAATGACTTCTCCATAGTAAACATTTATAATTTTATGCATTCATCCATTTAATAAACATTTATTCATCACCATTCTGGCATGAGGCATTGCTTTAGGTGCTGTGTTTACTGAGATAAACAATACAAATTCCCTGACCTCATGGAGTTTATATTCTAGTAAGCAACACACAAAATTTATGTATTTAACTGGTGTTATAATCTGGTTTCAGATAATGATAATTACTATAAAGACAGGGTGCAAATCAGATAATAGAGCAGTAGAAGGAGGTGTTACAAGGTCAGGAAAGGACTCTGAAAGTGCTGTGAGCAACAGCCTGAATGATATGGAGGAGGAAATGATAAATCTGGGAGACGGATGTTCTGGGCAAATGAAGCAAATTGTCTAAAGGGCCTAAAGTGAGGACAAGAATGGCCAGTTCGAAGAAATGCTAAATGGCCATACTGGCTTCTGTAAATGAGCGAAGAGAAAGTTCTAGACAATGAGATGGAAAAGGTAGACAGGAACAAGACCATACAGAGCCTGGAGGCCTTCTTCAAATTTTAATTGTGAGGCTATTTAGAGATTTTGAGCAAAGCGATGGCATGGTCAGATTTACATTTTAGAAAGATCACACTCACTGTTATGTGGATAATACTCTATAAAGATGCAAGAGAGGAGGAAGGGAGACTAATTAAATGCTATTTCAGGAGATGAGGATATTTTGGACTCCAGTTTAAGGGTGGGGAAGGTGAGGATGCTCAGATTCAGGATATGATCTTGAACTACAGCTGTCAAGAAGAGGGGTTAAGTGAATTGTGGTATATAATGGTAAGAGAAGACACTTATATTCAAGGGTTAAGGAGAGACTTAAAAATGCTACAATACCAAAAATAGGTGTTGCAAACTGTATTTTTCTCAGCCACATTTCCACAGTTTAATGAACTATTCCCAATAGGAATTCCTGAGAATAGGACAAAAAGCCTTTACTCCTTTAAAGCTCAGAAATTAGTGTTGTGAAAAAGCCCTTGGGTCTAGGAATCTGGTCCAAGCTCTAATGCTGATTTTTCCTGGTGACCTAGAAAAGGTTTTTCTACCTCTCTGGGCCTTAGTTTCCTCTTTTGAAATGTGTAAGTGAGAAGCAAAAATGGGAAAATGTTTAAGGTTCTTTCCAGCTACACTCTTTAAGCAAAGGGTCATGTTTAATAAGCTGTAAGGTTTAATTTTAACATATGTAAGCAGTCTATAGTCAGATATATTTTCTAAAACTGAAAATGGTCATTGATGATATCATTACCTCACTAACATTAGAATAGATCCTGCAAGTTGATATGGTTTAGCAAGCACAATTTCTGCAAATGAATGGCAAGTAGCACCTATTATAGCAGAATATGTGGGTCTTTGAATCCTGCTAGATGTGCCTAAATTTGGAATCTTTGTAGTGAAAATGATATTTCCTCTGTACCTTTACCCAGTATAGGTACTAACTATGCTGAACTACTTTTCCTTCATTCCGCTATCTACTTCATAAAAAAGGATTTTTGATTAGAAAGACATCTTGACACTAAAAAGTTGTCCAACTACATAGGTTCCAATTAGTATTAATATGTTCGATGCTTTATCATATATTTGAAAATTCTTACCCAATCAAGAAAATAAAGAATAAATATTCTACATAAAAGAAGTAAAATCTTTTATACATTTGCATGCTTAAAATCTAAAACAGAGTAAACTTCCAAGACATTAACAATTCTGAAATTGATCTTAGGCTAGAATTTCCAGAAAGTAGAGCTTGATCCCAAGGTTTATATGAAAGTATTTTCTTAGCAAATACAATCAGAGAAAAGCAGGAGTGAACAAAACAGAGAGGAGCAGAGCAGGAGGGAGCACCAGCACAAGAGCGTTTATCGAGCTGGCCCCACGGAGGAAGACTGTCTGATGTTGTGGAACCATCTTCTGAGAAGCGTCATAAACTGCATCTCAAACAGCTTGTCTGGGGTGAGGATTGATCCATCAGCACCTGCATCCTATTGGTCAAAATTCACTGCAAAAACTGTTAACTCCCACCCCCCAACATTTCTGATTTGCACAAATGGGGGTCCACGCAAAGTCTCACAGTGCCCCTTTGCTGCAGGTCAAAAACCTGGTGCGAGGGGCAAGAGAGGTGGCAGGGGAAGGAGGTGAGATGCTGTTGGGTTTTCCCTTCATGCAGAAGGACAGAACCATGCAGAGCTGGCCTCTGCAGCAGCGGCTGGAAGTAGTAAGTGTGATGCATAAGAAATGTCTGATTCAAAGCATTTCCTCCATTAGATGTAAAAATGCAAGGTAGAAGAGAAGGGCCTCTTTAGCAACATACGTGAGAATGATTTATGGGACTTAGCCTACAGTAAAAATGACATGGGTTAACCATGACATGTAGTGCCCAAGCCAAACAAAACAAACAAAAGCAATACTACATTGGGTAGCATTAACCAGAGTAGAGTGTCCAGAAATAGGAAGATGCTCATACAGTTCTCCTCTGTATAGGTCAGATTACACAAAGCAGACTAGGATACAAGAAAAGTGGCCATGACAGCTAGGCGAACTATAACCTATACTAGAAAGAGAGTTACAGATAAAGGAATTAGAGAATTTTATTAGTAGAATAGCAGAAAAAGAAATTATGCTATGTATTCTATATCCTAGTACTTAAAAGTGTTCATATGGAAGACAGCTGAGAGTTAATTTTGTGAGAAATAACAGGTAGAAATAAAAATCCACAGTTGAAGTCATTAAAACACATTTTTTGTTATTAAAATCTGTTCACATAAGGAATGTGTATCTTGGAGTGAGGTAGAATAATACTAAAGGTATCGGTGTACTTTGGGGGGTTATAGAAACAGAGCATGGGATTTTTGAGTTAGAGAATATGTACGTGAATGTAGACCCTAGAATTTCTAGCTGGATGATAACTGACAAGTTGTCTGATGTCTCTGCGTCTCAGTTTTCTCAACAGAATAATGGTAATACTCTCAGGGTTAATGCAAGAATTACCAGATATAAGGCTGTATATGAATCTTCAGGAGTACTAAATGTCCTGCTATCAACATTCACAGTAGTTACTGAGAGGTAGAAAGTATATCAAGATTTTTAAATGAAGGAAAGTTTTCTTAGGTTAGAAGAGTGAGCTTTAACATCACATATGTAGCTGGCATTGTCAGTTCCAGCAGCAACTTGGACTCTATGGAGAAAAGCCTGTGTTCTCTAGAGCCAAAACTCCTCCAGTGGCAAGAATTGCTGTATTTCAAAATGGGGCTTATTTGAATGGAAAGAAAGACACTCAAACTGTAATGAGCCTCCAAGGCATTTTATAAAATTCTCATTAGAAAATAACATGGCCAACAGGCTATATGGGTACTAAATCTAAGAACAAATAACATGAATGAGATACTAAACGTTCAAAGCCTATACTGTTTGCTAAAAAGCATAAATCCAATTGATCAGATGCCAAATTAAATGTAGAGAGACTAACAAAATATTACTGTAGCAGAAAATAATGTTAGAAATTAAGCAAATGAATAGACATTCTCCTGCTGGTGAATATTTGTGGCAATTATTGAAAAATTTTGCAAGCATGTGGTATTTTAACAAACCTTAACATTATATGATATGCAATTGTATGTGAGAAAGCTCTGGGGTGTTTTGCTCTGAGAACTGGATGGCGTTCTATCCTTGCCTCTAATGAGAGGCATGTAAATAATGTAAAACAAACATGGATTTGGCACTCAGATGGTGTTAACGAATGAGCAGCGCTGACCACCACCTCTTTTCATTTGGGACAGGTGACTATGTGTGTAGCAAGTTCCTCTGTGCTAATGACAGATTAAAGCTGTTTGACAGCGTCCATGAAGTGTAGACACTTGATAGAAGACAGCATTGCAACTGGCCCTTTGAAAAAAATTAGTGACTTTTTAATTGCAAGGTTATTAAAATCAATGTAAACCAAGTTTTCAAATACATGTGATTCCCCTACTTTTATCCAACACCATTTAAGAATTAACTAACTCATATGTTTATCCATCCATTCAATTGCCATTTATTATTCATCCATCCATCCAAGGCATGAGCCTTGGAGTTTCAGTGCTTGATTTCTGAATCTTGAACCTCAATTTAGTAACAATACAACCTTAGACAATTTACTTAACCTTCCTAAGCTGCAGTTTCCTCTTGTATAAAATGGAGGTAATAATAGCAATTACCCCCATGGATTCCTTGCTGTGAATGAAGGAGTTAAAGTGTTAAAATGCCTAACACTGGGTCCAGAATGTAGTAATCACTCAGTGTTAAACGTAATAGTGGTTATTTCATTCAAATATTAATTATGTACCTGCTGACCATTGGTACTCAAAAAACATGCTCAATAATTCTTCTGTTGTTATGTTATCTTCATTAATTACTTTCAACCTTACAGATGCCAGAGGAAATCACCCTTTTACTGAATAGTGCTCATCCCCAGAAAGAAAAAAAGGCAATTCTCTAAGGATCCTACATGAATTTCCAACCTACCAACTCCTCTTTTAGCTAGGATGCTTCTTACAAGTAAAACATGAGGCTCATATTCTGCACTTTCCACAGAATTCAAGATACCCTACCTTGGACAGACCAATCAGGACCACAAAGGATGTTGGACAGGATGTGCATAAACTGCTCTGGCAGTTTTCATTCCAAATGAACATCAATTTGAAGGCAGTACCTGGCCCCTTCCACACAGATTATCTTGAAAATAACCCCACTATTCTTAAGGGACCTGAATAACAGGAAATTTTCCTGGGCCACCAACCCTCACCCATGAGACATGTTTACAAAACACTGCTCACAGTTTGAATCAGTTTTCATTTTCTTCACTGGAAAAAGCCCTTGCATCCTCCCCCCACCTCCATGACAGACGCACATGGCTCTGCTACCTCCTCTCTGACATGTACTCTTTACAGTGAGCTGGACCTAGTATCATGTTAATTTATTTTTTCAATGAAACATTATTAGTTTGAAGTAATTACGTAGGTAGATAAGATATAGAAACTTGAATTTAAAAATGAGTTTTAGGGGGAATAAAATTGTTTTTACCCAATACCACAGGCAATTGCAACATCGCATCACCAAGGCAGGATAGCTTGTGTGCATTGCTTCCATAAAGAGATTAAGACTGATTTATTACAAGATGTCAAGTGTATGTAAATGAATGCTGGTATAACATTTGAAAAGTGCATTTGCATGAAAAGCTCAATTTGTTCCTGATATTTTTTATGGATTGTTCTTTTTTTTTCCAAAAAAATTTTTTGAAGAATATGGTACAGACAAAACCTCTGTTAGAGTTGTGGAAAAGCATGGTAAATGGTTCAGTGTCACTGAGACATTTCTTGTTGTTCTTTTATCAAAATAAGAAATAAAGATACATAAAAAGATAAAATGTGATAATAGAGCAATAAATAAAACATTTTTTAAAATGTCATTCAGCAAATCCCAGTCAAAAGTTTTAGGTTGATAAATGTATTTTTCAATGCACATCTCACCTTAGCAAGACAAACTTCTCCAAACATGGAAAAGAAGAAGGGGCAATGGAGGAAAGAGAAGGAGGGGAGAGACAGGGAAGAAGAAAGAGATGGGGGGAGAGAGAGAGAAAGAAGCAACAGTAGCATTTCAATGGTTCAGTGCATCTTGAGTTAGTTAGGCATGGGTAAGGAAGTGAGATTAAGTTATACATTCATTCATTCAACATATGTTCGTTTAGTGTTTATTATATTCTCAGTACTCTAGTAAGCATTAGGAATAAAACAGTAAATGAGAAAGGCAAAAGTTCCTCTTTCATAAAATTACATTTTAGATGGAGAAGACATATAATGTACAAACAAGTTAACAGTTTAATTTTGGATAGTGATGAATGCTGTGAAAAGAATAAAATAAGGTGTTATAATAGCATGTTACTAGGTTGACCTAGGAAGTTCTTTCAGAGGGGAAACATTTGAGCTAGAGCTAAATGACAGAAAAGGGCTAGGCCTTTTCCAGTAGAAATAGCAGGTGCAAAGACCCAAGGCAGGAAGAAAAATGAGGCCATTGTGACTGGAGTTTCATAGGTAAGTGGAAGGAAAGTGATTGAGATAAGTGTGGAGCGATAGACAGGGATCAGGTCATTTAGAGTTTATGAGAAGTAGAATTTTATTTAAGTGAGATAGGAAGTAATTGGTAATTAAGCCTCTCATTTTCTCATTTACCTTATTTTCCATTGTTCATGTAACATTTATTTTTTAATGACCACATATTAGGCCAAATGCAGGCATCATTAAGTTCCAAATAACATAAATTCAACAGGCCAGATTTTTTTCACATAATCACATAAAATAGTAATTAACAGTAGAAATGAAAGAAAAAAATCTGTTACCCAGAGAATTAAACATAAATCTCTTATGGAACCATTAGATCATAGGGGAGTCAAAAACTAGAATTTCAAACTAGATCAAGAACAATGAAAATAAAAATGCACTTTCATTTTTAGCTATGAGCCAGACTAGGTATTCCGAACAATTTTCCTATTGAAAATAACTAAAACTCACATAAAATTTGTGGCAGTAACTGGCTAGATGTTCACCTTCCTGTTTCCTCTGTCTGCGTATATAGCTAAAGTATACTTTCCAGCCCTCTTGAATTTAGGTAGGATGATCTCTATATTTCCTGTCTATGGAATGTGAATTGATGTGTCACTTCCAGCTCAAGCCAGTTATGAACAGATTTACCTTCTCCAAATTCTCTACCCACCAACCCCATCACACACACATTTGTTGTCTGAAGCATACTGGGATGACTATGAAAGCACATGTTAAAAATGAGGGAGCCTCAGCATAGAAGGACTCTGAATCCCTGTATGATTGAGTGAAGCTGAGTCTACTCACCTGTTGACTTTATTAGACTGTGATATAAATGAGAAATAAACTTTGTTTGTATTTAGCTATGGATATGTAGGGAGTTGCTTATTTTAGCACCTACTATTACTTATGCTATCTATTACAGAAGTTAAGATCCTCAAGTAGGACATTAGCTTAATAATTGTTTAGTGAGCAGGGAGGAAAGTGATATTAGAAGCTTTAATGATGGAGTTATGACCTATGGTGATAAATGTTTGGTAAAATTGAGGCTTTGGTATCTAGGAATCCAATCATGTACTAATTGAGTTGGAAGCTCCAGGGTAAGAGGTTGGCATGAATAAAATCTTTAGTTTGTGTTGGCAACTATTATTTTCTTTTAGCAAAGTCTTATAACACAAAATACTCAGGAAAGAAAGGGCTAATTTGCAATCAAAAATAAAAGCAAATATAGAAAGTGAATAAATTTGAAATCTCTAGGGTTTGAAAAATCCTACTGCTTCTGGACAACAAAGATCAGAAGATAATATTGGGGGAAATCTGTAAACAAACATATAGTAAGAAAGACCCAGTCTTGTCATGAATATCAGATTAAGGGTGGGTGTGAGAGTGTCAGCTACTAACCATCACTTTGAGTAGTCACCATGTACAGAAGCAAGGGGATGAGGAAGCAAAGAAAGATAAAGACAGATTACCTGGGAACTTAAAAAAGGGTCTTTGGATTTAGTTGTTGACCCAGGAAATTAACTGGAAAGAAACAGACGAGAAGCATGCCACGTACTGGAAGGATGTAATTGAAAAAAAAATAAAATTCAACCTAGGCTAAGCTATTTGACTAGTCAAAAGTTAAAACAATCTCTTTAGGTTACCGTATTTTCATGAGCAAGAAGCAGGCTTCAAAAACTTAAACCTACTCTCCTGTAGACATAGCAAATGGGATCATGGAAAACAGAAAATAACTATCTGAATGAAGTCATGAAGAAAAAAAATGTGCAAAGGTACCACTTCCAGAGCAGAGAACCAGAGTCTAAAAGAGGAACTTCTCTCATTGTTAGGATTTTGGAACTACTATAGACAAGTGATTGTTCTGTGTTTCACATTCTTACTTCTTTCAAAGAGAAGTATTCTGGGGGTTATCTTGACTAGGTACCATACTAAATACTTAGTGTGGGACAGTTGACTTATCTTTTTAGTTCATTGGTCACCAGCAAATGAGAAGCCATATCTGCACCTGATGGTGCAGAATATACATACCTGAGAGATCTTGAACCTTGAGTTGGATACACTGGGGTTATTGGTGTGATAGAACTAGAAGAACCATAGATTCTTGTTACTCCTCATAACGAGTGGTAGAATTAAATCTTCCTCACACTGAATCTGGGCTTGCCTGAGTGATGTTCTTGATCAATAGAATCTGGCAGAAGTGATGTTCTTGGACCTTTGAGGCCAAGCCATAAGAAACCTTGTATCTTCTACCCAGGAGCCTTGGAAAACTCACACTTAGAGCCCTGAGCTTCCTTATAACAAGCCAACTTCCCTGATACCACCGTGTTTTGAGAAGCCCAAGCTTCCAGGAGAGGGCATGTGGAGAGGCTCTGAGACTACATGGAAATGGAGAGGGGAGAGGCTAAACCCAGACTTCCAGACATTGTGCCAAGGCACATGAATGAAGTCATCTTGGATCTTCTACCCTAGCCTAGCATCAGACTAACTCCTGTTAAAGCCATTAAGAGCACAAAATTGCCAGCTGAGCCCTTTCAGAATTTCTTACTCACAAAATTGTGAGATATAATAAAATGGTAATTGAAAATATAATAATTATTGATTAAAAATCAGAAATGATTTTTGCTGATTTTTAAAAGATTTTATAAGTCAATGAAAAATAAAATAAATTAGAAAATTTAGAACTAACAACAACAAAAATACTCTACCTACAAAACATCATGAGATGAAACTAATACTTAAGAGAAATCCACAGGCAAAAAGACTTAAATCCATATTTTGGAAAAGAACATAGGTTTAAATTAAATTAAATACTAAACTTATACAGTTAGAAAAATGAACTAAAAATTAAAGAAAAGTAGTAATAATAACAAAAATTTTAAAAATAGAAAATACACCTATAATTAGAGAAGATTAAAAAAAGTCAAATATTTGTTAATTTTTTTTAGCCTTTTCAGGGTATTGATCTTTTGCAAGACTGAACATTTTAAAAAGTAAAGGACACAAAAACAATATTAGAAATGACAACACAAAGATTTTTACTGATAACTTAATGAAAGGAAATAAAGATTTTTTTAAACATTTTATTCCAGTAAGTTAGAAAACTTAGAAAATTTGCCAATTACTAGAAAAATATATCTGGCTAACCAACCAAAGTTGACTCAAAAAGTAGCCAAAAATAAAAATGCCTTTTACAAAGAAACTGTCCTTTCCCTATTGTGTAGCATCTTTTTCAAAAACCAATTGGCCATAAATACTTGGATTTATTTCTGGGCTTTCTATTTTGTTCCATTGGTTAATGTGTCTGTTTTTGGGCCACTATCATGCTGTTTTGCTTACAATGGCTTTATAATGCATTTTTAAATCAGGAAGTATGATGCCTCCAGCTTTGTTCTTTTAGTTCGGGATTGCTTTGGCTATTTTGGTTCTAACAGAAACATGCAGAAGAATGAAATTTGTCCCTTGTCTCACATCGTACAAAAATCAACTGAAAATAGATAAAAGACTTAAAGGTAGGATGTGGAGCTGTAAAACTACTAGAAGAAAACATAGGAGAAAGATTCTGCAGTGCTGGTCTGGGCAACGATTTCTTGGATATGACCCCAAAAGCACAGGCAATAAAAGCAAATATAAATAAATGGGATTGCATCAAACTTTAAAAGACTTCTTCGCAAATAAAGAAACAATTAACAGAGTGAAGAGGCAACATATAGATTGGAGAAAATATTTTTAATCCACATTAAGGGCTAATATCCAGAATATATAAGGAACTCAAACAATTCAATCGCAAGAAAACAACCCATTTTTTAAAATCAGCAAACACCATGGAATACTATGCAGCCGTAGAGAAGAACAAAATCATATCCTTTGCAGGGACATAGATGGAGCTGGAGGCCATTATCCTTAGCAAACTAACACAGGAACAGACAACAAAATACACATGTTCTCACTTATAAGTGGGAGCTAAACAATGAGGACACATGGACACGTAGAGGGGAACAATACACACTGAGGCCTACCAGAGAGTGGAGGGTTGGAGGAGGGAGAGATCAGGAAAAATAATTAATGGCTACTAGGCTTAACACCTCAGTGATGAAATCATCTGTACAACCCACCCCCATGGCTCAAGTTTACCTTTGTAACAAACCTGCCCATGTAGGTACCACTGAACATAAAATAAAAGTTTCAAAAAAGACAATAAAAAAATTTTAAAAAAGAATCTGAATAGACATTTCTCAAAAGAAGAGATAGAAATGGCCAACAGATACATGAAAAACATGTTCAATGTTTCTAATCATCAGAGAAATGCAAATCAAAACCTCAGTGAGATATCACTTTACACCAGTTAGAATTTCTATTGTCAAAGAGACAAAAGCTATGAGAAATTACTTAATGGATAAAATGTGCATTATTCAGGTGATGGATGACCTAAAATCTCTGACCTGACTACTGTGTAATCTATGTATGTAACAAGAAATTGCACTGGCACTCCATAATTTTCTATCCAAAAAAAATTAAAAACAACTCAGAAAAAAAAGACCAATGACAAGTATGTGCAAGGATATGGGAAAAAAAAGGAACACTTATACACTGTTGGTAAGAATGTAAATTATTACAGGCATTTTGGAAAATTAAACAAGTCCCTTAGAAAACAAAAAATAGAATCATCATATAATCCAGCAATCCACTTCCAGGTATATAGCCAAAGAAATTGAAATAGAGATATCAAATATATAACTGCATTTTCATGTTCGTTTCAGCATTATTCACAATATCCATGATATGGAAGCAAACTAAGTTTCTATCAATGAATGAATGAAGAAAATGTGGCATATATACACAATGGAATACTATACAGCCTTAAGAAAGAAGGAAATTCTGTCGTTTGCAACCGCATGAATGAAACTAGAGAATATTATGTTAAGTGAAATAAGCCAGGCACAGAAAGGCAAATACTGTCTGATATCACTTATATGCAAAAATTTTTAAGTCAATCTCATAGAAACAGAGAGTAGAAAGGTAGTTATCAGAGGCTGAGGGAAGGGGGAAGATGAGGAAAAGGAAGGTATTGATCAAGGGTACAAAGTTTCAGTTAGATTGGAAGAATAAGTTTTAGTAACTTATTGCACTGCATGTTGACCAAAGTTAATAATAATGTTTTGTTTATTTCAAAATGCTAAAATACATTTTAAATATTCTCACTGGAAAAAAATAATAAAATGGTGTGGCAATGAATATGTTAATTAGCTTGAATGAACCTATGATGAAAACAAAGATCACAACATCACATTGTACCACATAAATATATGCAACTATTATTTGTATATTAAAATTAATTAATTGTTTAAAATGCTTTGCTGATAAAAGTATAAATTAGAATACTTTAGAAAGCAATGTGGCATTATCTAGACGAGTTTGAGTGACCACACCTCCCACTTTCCCTGGAACAGTTTCAACTTATGACTGATGTCAAAGCCTAATTATGAGAAATAATTAATAATTCATAATTAACAAACTATTAAGAGAAAAATGTTCAAGTTTGGATGCATACCTTACAACCTAACCATTCTACTCTAGAGATAACCTTGTACTGATATCTCAGGAAACGTGCAAGAAAATTAATAGCAACATTATAAGCCATAGAAATAAAGAAACAAAAACACTGGAACCAATATAAATTTTCATTTGAAATGTTTTCTATGGAAAATGATAGAATACCATGCAGCAGAGAGGAAGAATGATCTACAACTCCATGAATCAATTGAATGGACTTCAGGAAAATAATATTGTAAGAAAAAAAGTCTGGTTATAGAATACACCAGCGTAAATTTATTATATAAAACTGCTTAGGAATACACATAAATGTGGTTTAAAAAGAGTCTAAGAAATATAACAAGGACATAATATACACCACATTCAGGACATTGGGATAGAGAGGCTTGGAATCAGGAAGAAGGGTAAGGCTTCAAAAGTGCCTATTAAGTGTTTCTACTTCTTAACCCTTGTTGTTATATATCTTGCATGCATAATTTACTTATATAAATCATCTACCATTAAAATAAGAAACATAATAATAGTAATAACAGTTACTAACATTTACTGAGTACTTACTTGGAACCAAAAATAATTCTTAAGAGCTTTACAGCTTACAACAAGAACTTAAATTCTCACAACTCTAAGAAGGAGCCACTGTTACTTTCTCCTATTAAAGAGAAAAAATGGCCCATGCTTAGAGATGTTACTTAAAGTACAGGGCTAAACTGCTTATAAATGGCAGAGCCAGGTGTTACTTAATCATTGTGCTTCACTGCTTCTCTTAGTCTGGCTCTAATTTTGCAGATTTCTACACCAACTATATATAACGTTTATATGCAAAACAAAACAAACATTATAAAACAATCTTCAGCCTAACTTCTGCTGGAATTCTTACAATGCTTGAGTAAATTTAGCCTAAATTAAAGATGCTTTAATGCATGACTGAAAGAACTTGGGAGTGCATTAACAACTTACAGTGCAATTCGATTTACATTGAGCTTTCGATCTTAAAAGCATGTTGCCATAAGCCTTTATAAATGCCCACTAAAGCAGGTTTATATCATCATTTTCATTTTATGGATAAGGAAACAACTCATGTGACTATCTCTAGTTCACACAGAAAGGAGTCATCATCATGGATACAGATACTTTATCTATCTCTTAGTCACACTTATTATTCACACAATATCTGTTACATTGGCCTGGAATAGTTTTTTTTTTTTTTTAATCTTGATAATCATTCTAAGGTATGGTCTTTAGAAAATGCTAACTCTGATCATTTCACTCTTCAAGGGACTGGTTGTAAATCAGTGATGCTTGGAGAAGTTAAAAAGAAAATTAAAATGTTAGACCATGTTTGGTGCCTAGGAAGGGATAGGGTCTCAAGGAAAATCCATTTTTATTAAAAAGATGATTCTATGTACATTTTTTTCTTAGGCTGGAAATTATGATGATGGCTTACTGGATTACCTCTTGGCAAAAATCTGAGTTGGAAAAGTTCATTTTTCTCTGACCTCTTCGCTTCCTTTTAATTATTTTAATATTAAAATATTAAGAGTTAATAATTATTGCTGCTGATTCCACATTCTTCATCACTTGGGTCCTGTTTCTTCCTCATTCTTTCCTTCAGTCTGCTACCAGTCCTCTAGATTTATAACTGGCAAATATGGTATTTTGGAAAACAGGCTGGTCAGGAAGCCATAGCCTTCAGTTTTGGTCCCAATTCTTCCTCTAATTCTCCTAGAGACTCGAATATTTTATCCCTCATCTCTAAGCCTCTGTTTTTCCTTGTTTAATGGAGAGGGATGAACAAGGTGGTTCAATAGAAGGGATGCCTTCTAAATCTAACATTTGTGTCTCTATAGCTAGAAAACGTAATTATGAAATTGCCTAAGCTATTACTTCTCCCAGGGATATCTGTAATTTTAAAGAAAATACTTTAAAAATTCATTGCTTTATTAAGTCTGTTATTATCTCTTATAATTGACTGAAACACTCTCCATATTTCCTTACTTCAGTCCTCCTCTCCTCCAATCTATTCCAAATACTATGGTCAAAATAAGCTTTCTGATTATGGACCCCTCAGCCCTGCTTCCTTCATGGATTTCCCCATGTTATCAACCTGTTTAAATCATGATGGCATCAGATAGGAGGACAAATGATCTCCACATGGATACACAGAAGTATTGTTTATAAAAACTGACCATGATTAAGTTAGCAGTGAATGCAACTTGTCTGTAATACCAAGAATTTCTTGATTATTTTTAGTATATTCATTTTTATTTTTAAGCTAAGTCCAAAGGATATTTATTATTTATTTTTAATGCACCAACACCTTCCACACTCCTCTAGTTCTTCCTATAAGGCAGAGTTAACTGGGCTATACATTGCTCCCACTTCATTAGAGTTTTTTATTGTTGTTTTTTCATTACAATAATAATGGGAGTAGGAAGCATCTTTACTAAAGCAACAAACATATGAAGACTGGGATGATTAGGTCTTCTGGGCAACTTGTTCATTTGCATAATTTTGTGGGTTTTTAAAAATTTTCTTAAGAGATAGAGTCTTGCTCTATTCAGTCTTGAGTGCAGTGATATGATCATGGCTTACTGTAGCCTTGAACTCATGGGATCAAGTGATCCTTCTGTGTCAGCCTCCCAAGCAGCTGGGACTACAGGTGGATGCCACCATGCCAGGCTAATTTTTAAACACCACGTTTGTAGAGATGGGGTCTTGATATGTTGCCCAGGCTGGTCTTGAACTCCTGGCTTCAAGTGATCTGCCTGACTTATCCCACTGAGTAGTTGGGATCACAGGCATAAGCCATCGCACCCAACTCATTTCATTCTTAAGGTCATAAGAATGTGAACATTTTGCAATTTCCCTTTCCTTTTCTTGTCTTCTTTTCAACAAGTTATTTCCATTATGTGTGGTTTCTCTAAATTTATTTAAGATAAGTAAACCTAATACATGTTTTCTCCACCAAAACCATGGATTTCTCTCCTCAATAAAACTCGCTTTGAACTTACAAAGTTTCTCATCATCTTTTAATGTCTCCCTATTGCCCTCAGAACTTGGAAATGGGAGCTAAGAATTCTTCAGGCCACTAAGGAGATAAATTATAATGATGGTGCATGAGCACTTAAAAGAATATGTTGGAGCAGTGGTCCTCAAATAAGGAAATAAGGATCCCTCAATTTCTGTTGTTATCCACTGAAGGTCAGTTAAATGATGCTTTCTTCTTAGAATAACCTAACAAGCTAAAGATACTGGGGGCAAGATAGGGATTTATTAAGATGTACACATATATTGATATAGATATATACATATACATACTTTTTAAACTGAACTTCCCCTTTATTGAGGATTCACTGCCATTTCTAGATATTATGGAAATATTCAAATAATATATGTTTAAACTCAAGGAAATTACTGTACTAACGAGAGGGCACACACACACAAACCTATAATAATAAAAGGCAAAAGGTGGTAAGAATTTTCATAATGATAATGCTAATAATCATTAATGTTTATTAATTATTACCCAGTGAAAGTAATTGTTCCTAGAACTTTACATAATTAACTCAGAAACCTGTACCTTATCTCTCTGAATTGATAGGTACTACTTTTAGCCCTAATTCACAGATGAAAATGTGGGTCACAAGGAGAGTGAGAAAAATCCCCTATTCAAATGTGAGCTTCATGGAGTGACTGTCTTTCAAAGAGTAAAGGAGGGGGTCTTTGTAACTTTACACTGGAGAAACCTGACAAACAATATTTCATCCAGGTGATAAAGGTTATCATCAACAATGATAAGTTATGTTGATAGTATGTACCCTTTATGTGATGCAATGAAAATGGCACTGTGTGGTCTTCCTCTCAAAGACTCTGTGGTCTTCTTCCCAAATATCTATAACCTCAGTCTAATCATAAGAAAAACATCAGACAAATTCTAATAGAGGGCCATCCTATAACATACCTGACTAGTACTCAAAACTGTCAACATCATCAAAAGTAACCAAAGTCACAAAGAAACTTATCTTCAAGAGTAGCTTAAGGAAACATGACCACAAAATGTAATGTGGTATCCTCACTGGAATTCTGGAACAGACAAAGGATGTTAGGTAAAATTTAAGGCAATCTGAATAAACTGTGGATCTTAGCTAATAATAATAGTGCAAGAATATTGGTTCATTAATTATAACAAATATACCTGTTGGGGATTGAATTGTGTTCCACAAAAAGATATGTTAAAATTCTAACCTTAGGTACTGTGAATGTAACTTTATTTAGAAATGAAGTCTTTGCAGATGGAATTAAGTTAAAATGAAGACATACTGGATTAGAGTGGGCCCTAAATCCAATGACTAGTATCCTTCTAAAAAGGCCATGAGAGACACAGGCACACACACAAGGAAGATGGCCAGGCAAAGACAGAGGCAGAAATGGGAGTGATGCAGCCACAAGCCAAGGAATGCCAGCAACCACCTGCAGCTAGGAAGAGGCTAGGAGAGATTCTTTCTGGAGTCTTCGGAGTGTACATGGCCCCGCCAGCACCTTATTTTCAGACTTCTAGCCCTGAGACCTGGAAGAGGGTTGATTTCTGTTGTTTTAAGCTACTGAGTGTATGATCATTTGTTACAGTAGCTCTAGAAAACTCATATGGTACCATACAAATGTAAGATGCTAATAATAGAGGAAACTGTGTGTGTTGGAGGGCAGGGAGTTACATGGGAACCCTCTGTACTATTACTAACTGCTCATTTTTTTCTATAAATCTAAACTGATTTAAAACATTACATCTACTAATTTTTATTTTTAAATTTTACTTTAAGTTCTGGGATACATGGGCAGAACGTGTAGGTTTGTTACATAGATATACATGTGTCATGGTGGTTTGCTGCACCTATCAACCCATCATCTAGTTTTTAAGCCCTGCCTCCATTAGGTATTTGTCCTAATGCTCTCCCTCCCCTTGCCCCACCCCCCAACAGGCCCCAGTATGTGATGATCCCCTCCCTGTGCCCATGTGTTCTCGTTGTTCAACTCCCACTTATGAGTGAGAACATGTGCTGTTTGATTTTCTGTTCCTGTGTTAGTTTGCTGAGAATGATGGCTTCCAGTTTCATCCATATCCCTGCAAAGGACATGAACTCATTCTTTTTTATGGCTGCATAGTATTCCATGGTGTATATGTGCCACATTTTCTTTATCCAGTCTATCATTGATGGACATTTGGGTTGGTTCCAAGTCTTTGCTATTGTAAGTAGTGCTGCAATAAACATACGTGTGCATGCATCTTTATAGTAGAATGATTTATAAAGCAAACAAACAAAAGCCACATGAGATGCCATTTCACACCAACAATAATGGTTATAATAAAAAATAACAAATAATAATGAGTGTTGACAAGGATGTGGATAAATTGGAACCCACATACACTGCTGATGGGAATTTAAAATCAAGCAATTGCTTTGGAAAACATTCTGGTAGTTCCTCAAGAGGTTAAACATAGAATTACCATATGGCCCAGTAATTCCATTCCTAGGTATATATCCAAGCAAAATACAAACATATGTCTACCCAAATCTTTCACATGAATGTTCTTAGCAGCATTATTCATAATAGCCAAAACGTGGAAAGAAGCCAAATGTCCATCAACTGATGAGTAAGCCAAAAAATGTTGTATAAAAGAAATGAAGTCTATCCCTGATAGATGTTATAACATAGATGGATCCTGAAAAAAATCACACTTAGTAAAAGAAGCCAGTCACAAAAACTACACATTGCATGACTTCATTTATATGAAATGTCCAGAATGGGCAAATCCATAGAGACAAAAGGTAGATTTGTGGATGTCTAGGGCTGGGGGAAATGAAGAGAGGAAGTGGGGAGTGACTGCTAATGAATGGGTACAGGGTTCTTTTTAAGGCGTGATGAACATGTAGTAAAATGGGTTGTGGTGTTGGTTATGCAGCCCTGCCAATAAACTAAAAATAATTGAATTGTGTGCTCACTTCGGTAAGACATATACTAAAATTGGAACAATACAGAGAAGATTAGCATGGCCTCTGCACAAGGATGACACACGAATTCGTGAAGCGTTCCATATTTTTAGTGGGAGTTGAACAATGAGAACACATGGACACAGGGAGGGGAACATCACACACTGGGGCCTGTCGGGGGTTGGGGGTTTAGGGGAGGGATAGCACTAGGAGAAATACTTAATGTATACGACGGGTTGATAGGTGCAGCAAACCACCATGGCACGTGTATACCTATGTAACAGACCTGCACATTCTGCACATGTACCCCAGAACTTAAAGTATAAGAAAAGAAAAAAGAAAAAAATCTATGTATTAAAAGCATTTGCAAAATGAAATTAAAAAATAATAATTGAATTGTACATCTGAAATGGTATGGTATGTGAATTATATCTCAATAAAGTTGTTATTTAAAAAAAAAAGTGGGTCACAGAAAGAACATGTCACTTGTCCAAGGTCACATAACTATTAAGTGGCAGAGCCAGAATTAGAACCAAAGCAGCCTGACACGAAGGGTCCACATTCTCAGCCACTCCATATACTGCATCTTTTTGGTGTTTTCAACAAAATTTTATAAAAACACGAAGGGAGACACGAGCCTAAAAGAGGAAGAAGGAAACCATCAGAACAATGACTTTCCTAGCTTTCCTTGCTCAGAGTCACTCCTGGGGCGACTCGGAGGGGAAACAAGGGCAGGCTCTGAGGGGAAAATGTCATTAAAGTCCTGATTACACTACAGCCTCCCGTAGGGAAGCAGGCTCTTTCTTTATTCCCTTTGCAATTCTGAGAAGAGATATATTTAGGGGAGGAAAGAAAAAAAACTTCTTCCAAGCAATATGATAAACATATTCCTGGTACCCACTTAAGTCATTTAGATGCATGACAAAGCATCACTGAAACCCAACTTAAAATGAACTCTAATGAGGCGATATTGCCTTCCATTTTACAACCTGTCACACATTTGCTTTTCTTTTATGATAGATGCTGCATGTCTGTCAAGCAAAATGAAGACATTTTTTCCAATGACTGAAATGTTTATGCACATACAAAGATATTGTCAGGTTGTGTTCTGTTCAACCATGATTTTTTTTTTCAAATAATAGGGGTTGGGCTCCACTCACGGAGTGAGCTGCACTGTCCAGGCAGCCTCCCTTAGGCCTGCGTTCTGGATGGAGGGGTCAGGGTTATGCATTCTTCTGATCCATGAGAAGCTAACTAACTGTCCAGCCAATGAGCCTGGGGCAAGCCCCAAAGGCAACAGAACTCAAAGGAAGACAGAATCTTAAGGGGTATATTTAGTGGAATGAGTGGTTGTGGAGGAGTCCTGGGGTGTTTGGAAAGGCAGGACCCATGTCAGGAAGGGCTTTATGAATTTGAACATTAGCAGGCCTTGGAGAGCCTCTAAAGGATGTCCAGTGGAGGAGAAACATTTGCTATCCGAAAATAATTTCTGAAAGCATTATGGAATGTCTGTTTGAGGGAGCAAGACAAGAGACAGTATAACCTAAATGGATAATCATACATAGACATGTCATCTTATTTATTGAATAATTATACAGACTGGGTTATAAAGATCTGAGTTCAAATCTTGCTCTGCCTCTGACAAATGTATGAGTTTGAATAATTTTTTAAATTATTGTTTCAAATTTTTACCTGCAAAAGAAGGATAAAATGATACTCCTTTCCTGGGATTTAAATGGAAATAAAAATAAGGTATTTACTCCATATCATTATATGTTTTAAAAAAACAAGATAATTAGGCAATGTTGAGTGTTGTTGTTTGTCCCTAATGAGTTAGGTGTTGAATGATGGGAAATACAATGATTTACAGGCCAAAGAAATAATAGAATTGAATTATTGAATTCATCTTGGTGGTCTTCATGATGTCATTAGATAATTTGTCAGATGCTAACAATGCCATAGAAATGTAGTTTTTTATGTGATCAAAGAATGAACTGAAAATTCCAAAAATACCCAGAAATTTCATAAATTCATAGAATACCTGGAAATTACACTGAGAAAAGTGAATCAATCAATTCATCAATTAAACATGCATTGATACGTTATTTTCTCTTCAACTTGACAAGCATTCAATGAACTCCTACTTGGTACCAGGCACTAGTGACAGTGATAAGAATAAAAGAACATTCTTATATGTTTCAGAGATGTCAGACACATACATAGTCAAGAGTAACTCACAGTGATGGGGAAAGCGGGATTCTGCTCAATGACAGGGGTCTGAGCAGATTCTGATGTAAGACATTATGAGACATATTCAGAAATAGCGAATCTTAGTGTCTGATGAGTAAAGACATATTAATCTAGAAAAATAAGTTATGACCTAATATACGAACTCTGTGCTTTATTTTATGTATAACACAGGACATTGAGAGATATTAGAAAAATAGGGTTTCCAATGAAAGAACTATTTTAATTTAGACTCATCTGTCAAAAATAGGTGGAATTGGAAGAGGCAATGAGTACAGCCAAAAAGTTGCTCAGCTATTACAGCATTCCAGAAGTGAGACTTTGGGAACCTGCACTACTGCAATAGGAAAAGAAAATAAACTGTGAAACAACATAAATAAAAGACTGAATTGTTATGATAAGAAAAGGAGATGGCAGGATGACAAGAAATTTACCCTGGTGTCATTAGTGATAAAAATTACTTCATAAGCTATAAAGAGTTATGCAAATGTATGACACTATGCACACCTTTCATTTTGTTTGGAAAGAAAAAAGACACACATATACACAAAAAATGAAATCAAAATGATGTAGACACAATTCATCTTTCTTGGATGATGAGAAAAGCTCACAGAGGCCAATTGACTTGTCCCAGGTTATACAACGAGTGGCAGAGTTGGAATTTGGACTTGCATCAGCTCCTCTTTGTACCATAGCACAGGTCGCTACAGGCAAGTGATCTTATAACAGGTCTAGGTGTAAAATAACCCCAGAGTTGTTATCGTTGTACACCACTGAATTGCTGTTGCTACCAGACATTTCCCTCTAAGCACACCTTATGCCTTTGTCTTCTTTACTGAACACATTGCAAGTGTCAAAGAACGTCTTTTTGTATGTTACGAAGGCCCATTGGCAACAGCTCTTGGCTTACTATGTCATAGACACCTAGAACTGTGGAAACATAAAGCATATTTGCTATTCCCATGTATCAAAAATTGGAACTCAGTTCATAGTACTAGTCGCTTCAACCTCTCTTCTAAGACTCCCTGATTCTTGGGATTTATGAGTATTTGACAAAATAAGCTCACTGAAGACAGACATCTTTATCTGTTTTATTCAGTGATACACCTCAAGTGCTAGAATGGCAACTGTCACACAGTAGATGCTCAGTAGATGTTTGTTTAATGTTTGAATCCCTTTCATCTGGATAACAAAGATGAAAATATTTGACTAAATATATTCATGCAATGCCAGAAATGAAGTGCTTAAACTCTGTTTTTCCAAGAGGCCAAGTAGAACAAATTCTTCACTACTGGATTTCTCTGAATCACTTTACAACCAAAGAAGCACTGCAAGACTATCCCAAGCATGGCCCTTAGGTAATGGTTTTATTTGCCATTTGATTCTTAGGGAGTCTATAGGCAGAAACAGTCAACCTAGTTTTAAAATGACCAGGGAGACTCTTGGACTACTTGCAAATGAGGGAAACTCTATTCTCTCTCTTTCCTGTTTATTATCGTCATCAGCCTCAATGATTTCCAAGGAACGGCAGCATGCTGTGATGGAAATAACAGGGGCCTTGAGTCCAGGAAAAAAAAAATCTTCTGCATTCCAGCCAACTACTCACTAGCTGTATGACCTAGGACAAATGACTATACACCTCTGCACCTATTTACAGCATCCTCAGCTGTAAAATTGGGACTAGACTAACTATATTAAGTTGTTGCTGTTGTGAAAATTAAAGATAAAGCATAAAGGTGTTGACACATAGGAAATACTTAGGAAACACTGTTTTTATTTTTACATGCGCTAATTATTTCTCTTTGCCCACATATCTCTGAAGATAACAGTGAAAGGTAATCCAGGGGGAGGAGACATGTACCCAAGCTTGTGGATATGTGTAATTCATCAGGGTAATTGTCTAGGGGGAAAAAAAAGCAACCTTGTGGCATCTACTCAGGTCTATTTAATGAGTCCTGTGCAGGGGATCCTGGGGCCAGCTCCTTTTGTTCATTAAAGCCCAATGATGTGTGGAATTCAAAGCAGGGGTGAACAGTCAGAAATTTGCCTTTTAAAAATAAGATCTGCTATGATTCCCTCCAGGGACTGTGGCACAGTTGCCTGTTCCGGGGGCTGCCTGCTGTGTAGGAGAGTGACCGTCACTGACTTTCACTTGTCAAATACATTTCTTAGCCCTCAGTATTTACTCCTGAGGGAGCCACCGCTGGGAGTATCAAAACAGAGAGGAGTTAAATAGCCCATGCTGGGTTTGTAGCACCATGGCTCATGCAGGGCCAGCGTTAAGCCCTTCCTTTCTGGCATTCACAGTGGGTGTTCTCTGCTTCTTCCTGCATCTCCAACTCCCTCTGTCTTAATATTTGCTGGATTTCTCTCATGCTTAATTAATGCCATCTCTGTGGCCAGAGCTGGCATGTACCTGTCACTTCCCTTTACTACCCTCCAATGAGGAGCAGATGAGTGATTTCAATTTAAATATGAAACTGAGGTTCTGATTGGTTAAATAATTTGCCCACAACTACCCAGATAGCTTTGCAACACAGGATTCAAACCTACACTGATCTCTAATGCTTTGGGTAAAAAAATTGTCTTCAGGGGCATTAGATCTGAAACCTCTTAATCTTGACATGTTCTTGGGTTCTTACTGGGGTTAAGTACATTTACCCTCCATGATTCTATTGGTGTCTGTGAAAAGTCACTCTGATCAAATCTTTTCTGCCCATTTCTTATGAATTTGATGAGTTTTATTTTGAATTAATTTTGAAAGATGCAAACAGAACCAAGAAATGAAAAACAGGCAAGTAGCTTGTTTCCCATTCGCCCACATTCATGATAATGACAGGATGTATTGAACACTGCCTCCTCCATGCCTGGTACTGCTTAAAGTTCATTATATGTGAGAATTCACTGAATCCTCATGACAGCTCCAGGTGGTAGGCACTATTACCTCAAACTTACAGATCAAAAAAACAAAGAAACAAGGAGATTATGCAACTTCCTCAAAATCATACAGCTAGTAAGCAACAGAACCAGGATTCGAACCCTGGGAGTTTGATATCAGGGGCTTAGCTAACAACTGCACCACCCTGTCTCTATTTCTCTTCTGTCTTTAGAGCAACATTTGAAGAAGAAAAGAAAGAACATAGAGAAGCAATAGCCTTTGTTTTTATCGTTATTGTCTTCTTTCTTTCTTTCTTTCTTTCTTTCTTTCTTTCTTTCTTTCTTTCTTTCTATCCTTCCTTCCTTCCTTCCTTCCTTCCTTCCTTCCTTCCTTCCTTCCTTCCTTCCTTCCTTCTTTCCTTCTTCCTTTCAAGAGTAAAGAGTGAGCAAAGATGGAAGTAAGAAGGAAAATACGTTAGGAGTCCATTCAGACAATGGAGTGCCTGCCAAGGAAAGGTTATTGAGGCAACATGGCTGAGGATAATTTTAAAACATATTAGCAAAGTATATTAGGGGAAAAGACAGAGAAAGGGCCTGGAAGAGCTGCCAGGAGTCATGTTTGATTATCCAGAGGCTTCCATTTGAAAGGGTTAGGATACATTGAGCAATGTCTCTCTATCTTTGACGTTGACTGCTTGCCAGCAGGGAAAAATGCAATGATCAAAATCAGAGACCTAGTGTGCACTAGGGCTACCAAAAAGAAATGTTCAGATGCTAAAGAAAAAAAAGAAAAAAAGTCCTTAAAAGGCACATCCTCTTCTGGCACATGGCCAGAGTTCACTGAATCAAGACCCAGATACTGAGCATGGGTGGATAACAGGTGGTCCAGGTGTAACCCCAGCATTTCTCTTGCTGAATCTTGTTTACCCAAGTCTGCATGTGATACAAGGAGCAGAGTCTTATGGTCGAGGAGGAAAATCCTATTCTTTTATTTGCTTAACTATGAAAGAATACATACTTCATGAAGGCCTGGGATTAACTTTAGTGGTTTCACACAGCAGTGTGCATATGAAGAAAGCCAGGAACTTGTTAAAAATGCAGATTCCCTGTTTTTGTATCCAGAAATTATAATTCAAAGGGTCTAGGAGGGGGTCCAGGAATCTTCATTTAATAAACGTGCTTAAGATGATTCTGTTGCAAGAGGTTTTCAGATCTTATTTTGAGAAGACCACTTAGTGGTTCTTAAAGAGATATGCCTCAGAATCACCTATGGAGCTTCACAAAACTATGCCGGCTACTGCTGGCAGAACAATTGTACTCAGGGTTCTGCAGAAGGAGGCCAGTGTCATAGAATGGGTTCCCCAGGAAAAAAGATTAGCATTCAGGGGATATATTAAGGAGGGCTCTGGAGAGTGACATCTCTGAAAGGGAAGGAGATTGGGCAGAGAGAGATGAGCTGTGAAGCAATCTCAACAGAGGCCTTAGACAATCCACAGGACTGTGAACCTCAGATGACCTTTTAGAGTTGTTATTATCTGGGATGAGGGAACTGGATGTTTAAACCTCCACACTGATCAGTCATGGAAAGCTGGCTCCCCCAGGGAAGGAAATGAGACATTAGTCTTTAGCCTCAGAAATCTACATAGGGACTCACAGTGGAAGGCCCTCTGCTAGAAACCTGAAGGTAGATATAAGCAGCACCTTACAGTGTCCACCACACTGAGTAAAATTTTGTTTGGTTTGGTTTTAGCCCCATTGGTGATTCTTAAATGTTCCCAGGCCACAAACCAGGAATGCAGATGTGTCATTGGTTATGAGGAGAAAGAAATGATACTTGGGGTGTTTTCGCAACGAGGTGAGTTCTACCTCTGTCTCCCAGAGAATTCCCATGCCTCGTACGGAATTCAGATCGAGTAGCATCATTTTTCCAAAGACTTTTTTTTTGACAGTTTCAGGCAGAGTTAATCACTCTGCTTTTGGAACTATCACTTATCTTGTATAAACTTTCATGATTACATGTCTATTCTCCCTAGTAGTCTGCTTATTTTATTGGGACCATGTCATATTCATTTCTGTATCCTCAGCATCTAATAGGGTCTACACATAGTGAATACTTATGAATGAATGAATAATTATTTGTTTATCAGTGACTGGAGGGTTAAGAGTAGAGGCAAAGAGAAGCTGATGCTGTTAACAAACTTCCTTTAGTATCCCAGAGAAAGACATTGAGTAAGACAGATGATATTGCCACCATCCCTTGCAACAGCACTGCCTTAAGAAGGCTTAGTAAACACAGATTTCTAAGCCCCTCCTAGACCCTTTGAATTACAATTTCTGGATATGAGGACCAGGAATCTGCATTTCCTTGCAATTCAGCTACAGCACCTCTTAGTCTACTCGGGAACAAGGGACTATTGTTTTGTTTTTTTGTTTTTTTTTTCTCTAGAATAAATTTCAGGAAAAAATATTTTTAAGTGATTCAAACTCTAGAGTGATCCTGCCTACCATCTTTCTCTCTAACTCATGTCAGCCGTGTCACCTTCTTACCTGTTAAAGGATTATGTGTCAAATGAGTGGTGTGAAATGGTGTACTAGCAAGCTGGTGGCAGATCTCACAAAGCCCCCCTTTAGTGATTTTAGAAAACTAAAACCTTCCCCCACTTCCCCAGTAATCCAAATTCCCCACTAAGTTCCTTGAGCTGTCCAGTGTGACTATGATGCATATTACTAACCCCAGCCACACAAGTGAATTCCCAGCTGTGCAGCCCTTGGCTTGATTAGGTTGCAGCCTGTGCTCTACCTCCAATCACTTGCATGAGCAACTCTGAAGCAGAACAACCAGCGATCCGCCACAATAACAGGTCACCGAGGGCTCAGAGGGGAAGGGGGAACACAGTGAGTTTCACAGGTTCCTTATCCATCCTGAGAAATGCCTGGGGACTCCAGTTGTTTGAGAGCCTGGTACCATTACAGGCTCCTGATGATTTATTTTAGATTTGTCCTGAGGGAGAGAGTATCAAAATTTCCTACTGATAGCTTGTATAGGTGAATGATGCTGTTACTTGTTCAAGCAGAAAAGAAGAGCTTAGAAACATAATAGGAATTTTGGCTTCTCCTGGGTGTCTCTAAAGCCAGAAGTTTTCTATTATGCAAAATCCACAGTGCTTGAAACCTTCAGGTGCAGGGAGAGAGCACTCATCCTGCAGCCCCTACACACCTGACTTCATCAAATGATTGCTTTACTATAAGATGGCATTTTAGTATAGATGATTTTCAGGAAAGAGACTAATCCCTCCGGAAATCCTATTAATACTGTATTTGTAAATCTATAAAAAGCCCTACTGTTTATAAGCATAGATAACTGTGAAGACAATAAAAGTGGAGGTTGTCAAAGATTAGTAAAATAGCTTGGATGTATATGCTAAGGAGTACTTCAAGGGAAAAAACAAACAGGTGACAGGGAAAAGGGAGCTAAGTTTCCCAAATGTCAGATCCCACATTCATATCACCTCACTTTTCCCTGTGATAGAGTGGATGCCATCTGTATTTTAGAAATGAGGAAAGAGGGGCTATGGATTAGTGAGGGAATATTTCAGATTTCTGCTCAATCCTCTCATCTTCCATGCCTCCATTCAGAGAGCTGAAAAGAGCAGAATCTGAAGAAGGGAGAGAAGGAACAAGAGGATAGAAGATGGTGGCAAATGTGAAATGGGCTAATACATTATGTTGTAGAAAAGTATCATTAGAATTACCTGGGGAGTTTGCTAAAATGGGGACACTTTCAGTTTCCACTGATGCATAACACAGCATTCCAAAACTTAATGTTGTAAAACAAAAACAAGCCGTTATGTATTCGTGATTTTGTGAGCCGAACAGGTAGTTCTGCATCAAGTAGGTTGACAGAGATGGTGGGATCTGGGAAAGGCTCAAAATAGCCTCACTCAACAAGTTAGTACTCATTGCTTGCTGCAAGCTCATCTGGGGCTTTCAGCTTAGCTAGGTTACAGTTCCCCCAGTGGGCTTCTTCACAGTGCAATCAGGACTTTCTCAGCATTGCTGGCTGGGTTCCAAGAAGGAACATTCTCAGATGACAGGCTCCAGCAGGTAAGCCCTTCTTATGCCTTCACTTGCTTCACATTAATGTCCCACTGGCCTAAGTCAACCAGAAGGACAAGCCCCAGAGCCAGTATGGAGAACCCCATGAGGACAAGAATACTGGGAGACATGGTCACGGGACCTATCTACAGAGGGCTTCCTTTACCCCACCCTAGACCTATTGCGTAAAAATCTTTGGAAGTTGGATACAGGTTATCTGCATTTTTAACACACTTCCTAGAATATCTCCACAGCACATCTTCCTTCCTTCCCTCATCTGCCTCCTACCTTCTGCCTTTCAAACTTGCTTTATGCTAAAATTCTTTGTTAATTCATTAATCAGCAAGGCAATAGGTTTATTGATTGCGAGAGAAAGAGGCTCATTGATCTGGAGAGAAAACAATATCAACAATCACAAAAATTCCACTAAAAAAGCTCTTTGTAGTTACTAGTGACCTCCATGTCACTATTAAATGAACATTTTTTCAGTCCTCATCGTACTTGATTTCTTACCAGTATTCAATATTGTTGATCACTCCCTCCTTCTTAAAATACTCTTTCCTTGTTTTCTGTGATATATCACGCACACTTCTGACTTCTTTTCTATAACTCTGCTCACTACTTCTAGTATCTTTTTGGTTCATTTTCTTGTTCCTAACTTCTAAGTGTTGGTAGTTTTCAAGGCTTGGTTCTTACAGCTTTTTTTTCCTCAATCTGTACTCTCTCCCTAGGCAATCTGACACTCACCAAATGCTTCCACCATCAACAATCACCTGCATGCAAATAACTCCCAATGTTATGTGACTAGCCCAGATCTCTACTCTGAGCTGTAGACTCAAATGTCCAACTATTTTCTCTCCATCTCTCCTAGATTGTCTCAAGGGAATTCATATTTAGGGTGTCTAAAACTGCACTCAATCCTCTCTTTTACTCCATCCCAACCTCGTCTTCTTTATTTTGGTAAACCGTACTGTTATCTAGGTACTTCTGCAATAAAGGAGGAGTAATTCTGACACCTCTCTATTAGCCACCCACACACCCCATTCAATCCATCACCACTCTTGTTGATCTTACCTCCTCTAATATGTCCACCTCCCTGCATCATCTCCTGCAGCACCCTAATCCAAACTGCCATCATTTCTCATCAGAAAACAAATAAACACTAAAAGCTTTCTAAGTTCCCCCACCCCCAGGATCACTTTTTTCTTTCTCTTTCCACCCTCCTGATCCACAAGCCTTTCCCCAGGTTTCAATCAGAGTCATCTTTTAAAAACACACCCAATCATGTCATCATTTCATTTAAAACCTTCAATATCTTTGTATTTATTTTATAATAAAGACCAAAATCCTTACCATGATTCACAAGCTTGCTTCCTCCTCAGCCCCTTTGTCAATCTCCTTGTTTTCTGTGATTCACCTTCCCTGGCCTCCTTTCATTCTTCAAATGCACAATCATCTTCCATATGAGAGCCCTGAGCCTCCTTTAAGAATGTCTCCTGGCTCCCATTTTCTTTCTGGTTCTTCACATCTTAGTTCACATGTCTCCTCCTGTGAAACAAGTCTTCACCATACAAACCAGTCTACTCCAGGGCTTCTTATTATCACACTCATAGTCCTATGAGATTCTGATTCTTATATTTAAACATTGTTTATGATAATGCATCTATTGCGTGCTTTTTATAAGAATGCCCATCTTCCCCAATAGATAGTGAAATATATGAGGGCAAGAATCACGGTAAAATAAAAATAGAGATGGGAGTCTCACTATGTTTTCTAAGCTGGACTCAAACTTCTGAGTTCAAGCAATCCTCCTGCCTCAGCCTTCCATGTAACTGGCACTGCAACCAACCACCTTTTTAAACACATTATATTCCTAGTGCTTGTCACATAATAGGTACTCAAAAATATTGTTGAGTCAGTGAATGGAGGAAGGAAGGAAGGAATAAAAATGCTTGCTAGGACTATAGTCATGCCTAAGGTGCTATCTTTAATGTTAATTGCCTGCTTCTTAGGATCCATGAAGGTCTTTCTCTGCTGGGTCTCTCTTTATATGCTATACTCTAATCTTCTAGAGTAGACCACTCCCAGCTAGGACTGCTTCATTTTATGCCACAACATTGTGTCAGGTTAGCCAGTCAGAGTGATGCTGCCTTCAACACCAGCATTTAGAGCTGCTCTGTCCAGAGTGAACCCCTTTCCTGGGCATGTTTAGTCTTCTGCTAAGTCCTAGATCTCTGAGTCTGTACTTGCTAGAAATTATCTGGCTATGGTAGGCATAGACCCAAGATTTGATAATGCTTCTTAATTTTTTTTTCAGACAGAGTCTTACTCTGTTGCCCAGGCTGGAGTCCAGTGGCACAATCTTGGCTCGCTGTAGCCTCCTCCTCCTGGGTTCAAGTGACTCTCCTGCCTCAGCCTCCCAAGTAGTTGGGATTACAGGCTTGTGCAACCATGCCTGGCTAACTTTTGCATTTTTAGTAGAGACGGGGTTTCACCATGTTGGCAAGGCTGGTCTTGAAGTCCTGACCTCAGGTTATCCGCCCACCTTGGCCTACCAAAGTGCTGGGATTACAGGTGTGAGCCACCACACCTGGACTGATAATACTTCTTTAGCTTGGTTTCATGAGCTTAAAAAATAAAAAAGAAATAAAACTTGATTGCCAATGTTAAGTGAGATAAAACCCACCATAACTGGATCTAAAGATAGCAGGAGACTTTGGGGACGTGGTGTTAGATGAGACCATTTTTTTTTCATGTAAATGGAAAACATTAATATTAGGATGCATCCCATGCAAATTGTTTGAAATCTGCAGGGTATCTGCTTCCTATTTCCAACAAAGCTTGCCCTTGAGAAGTGTAAGTTTGTTTGGTTTCTCAACTTACGTGAATTGAATTTCTGACAAGACAACCCTTGACACAACCAATTGGATCAAGCTGCTTTGACACTTTGAGATGTCTAAAGCATACTGAGGGCAATTGATCAGATTCCATTACTGTCCATTCACCTTCAGCTAATCCTTTCTGCCTTGACCTACTCAAGGGAGGATTACTGAGAAATTTGGTTGCTGCCATTTGTGAGGGTTGAGTATGTATAGACTCCTAATCATTACTGCACTTTGCACTTTTAATGGATATTTTTGTCTTGGTAGTTTCCTTTCCTCCCCTTTGCACACCCCCAAAATTGATTTGTGTATAGACTAGCTTTACACTTTGATGGATTGGAAAAACAGTGCTCAGCAGTTTTGCATTGGGGAAGCTATCTATATTTTATTAAGAATAAAAATGATTATTTAAAGATTGAGTTCTTAGAATGATTTTACATGGCCCTAGCCAGCATGGTCAGTACACTCGATAACATAAACCTTTACCTGTCTCCAGGGGTACCTCTCATTTGGTGAGCTTCACTAACCTCTGAATAGCTATACCATCTCCAAGGAAAGACATATAAGGTCTTTTTGCAATTAAAGGAATATAGGTTTTTTTCTTCACTGAGTTTGACAATAGGAAAAAGGCCTCAAACATCTCAAATTTAACATGCAGCAAACTAAGATGATTGGTGATTTAAAAACATCTACTCACTCATTTATTAGTTTATGCATCTTCTGTCTACCTATCTACTCACTTATGCAAGGAATGTGTATTGAGCTGGTACCATTACCTAGACATTGAAGTAGACAGTGGAGATATAAATGACAAATAAATACACACTACACATTTCCTGCCCTCTGGATTTCATATTTGTGAGAAGGTAGACATAAATCAAATAAACATACAGTAAATGTGAAGTTATAGCTGTGAACACTACCATGAATGAGAGTAATAGGGTTTGGCTCTGTGTCCCCATCCAAATCTCATGTGAAATTGTAATTCCCAATGCTGGGGGAGGGACCTGGTGGGAGGTGATTGGATCATGGGGGCACATTTCTCCCTTGCTGTTCTCATGATAGTGAGTGAGTTTTCATGAGATCTAGTTGTTTAAAAGTGTGTAGAACTTCCCTCTTCTCTCTCTTTCTCCTGCTCTGCCATGATAAGATGTACTTGCTTCCCCTTCACCTTCTGACATGATTGTAAGTTTCCTGAGGCCTCCAAGTCATGCTTCTTGTACAGCCTGCAGAATTGTGAGTCACTTAAATCTCTTTTCTTCATAAATTACCCAGTCTCAGGTAGTTCTTTGTAGCAGTGTGAGAATGGACTAATACAGAGAGGTATATTATGTCTGCAATAGCATCTAACAGTGATACCTGGCCTACATGTGGAAGATTGACTTAACTTATGGCCTCTCACTGTACTTAGCTAATTATTGAATGGGTGGGATAAAAAATTTTAAATTATACCTACAATCACAATGTCCACCTAAGATTTTAGTACTGTTGTTGGATTTTGATAGTTGGGAAAAACTTCCTTCACTATTGGTCTTTTGGGCTATAGCTCCTAAGTTTCTTTCAGAATATTGTCTTAACTCCTCATTGTACCACTTAAGGCCATCAGTTTCTTCTTCACTTCACATGCTCCCTACCAAAAAGAATCTACTGCTAAAATAACTGACTCATATTCTGTGACTATCTCACGCATGTTCCCATCTCTCCCTTGCTCCAAATATTAACCTCATCTAAAGACACATATCCCTTTCTTCCTATCTGGTTTTTGGTGGGATTTTTTTTGAGAACAGGTGAGAAATCTAGTGAGAATGCTGAACTTTGACATCATTTGTTTAGAGACAAAAAATTGTATTTACCTCAGTCTGAAGCAGTATAACTGAGTTTGATAACAAGAATTATTACTAAAGGGATCCAAGTTGGCACTTGAAAAAAATGCCAAGTGTTAAATATGAAGAGTGAAATTGGGGTAAAAAATATGTCAGCAGGAATAGACTAATACTAATTATACATCATAATTTATGGAATGTTTATTATATCAAGATGTTTATTAATCACATTGTTGCTTTATTTAATGTAAAAGATTTTAAGGTCATGACAAATTAATCTCTGGTATAATGACACTGAAAGCATCTCCACTACCCTGCTTTCTAATAAAGTTTAAAAATTTAAAGCTTCTTGAAATGGCCATAAGGTAAATGCCAAAAGAAGAAATATTTATTAAAAAAAAAAAACTACGAAAATTCTGTAAGAAAGGCAAGAGTCTGTGGTACTTGAATCAAAACTACCCCCTTCCCTCATCTCAAAACACACAAGCTCCTTCTCTCCTTCTCTCTCTCTCTCTCTCTCTCTCAGTCCCAGTTGTAGGGCTATCTTCCTGAGAAGAGTAGGACTATATTATTTTTATCCTGACTCAAGCCTCTTAAAGTTGAGGCTAAATCCTGAGTAAGTGCAGTTGAGAGGTTGGGGGCCCCTCCTTTCTATCTCATGGAATGGAGGTTCTACTAGAAGTTCAACAATGTTGAGAATTCTAGGGCTCTGATTGTTTATATCCTGGTTTGTGAAGAGGAACTTCCATATCAGAAGAGACAGGCCCAGAGGATCTCAGGCTGCTGCTGCTCCTCATTACCATGTGCTCAGCACCAAGTTCAAAAGTGTGCCTCAAAGAGAAGCTTGCCATTGTTCCCAACCACAGCTCCAGATCTCTGGCTCAGAAGTTTTTGCCTTGGTGAGAACAAGCCCATTAAAAAGATAGCTTCTAATCTCTTCCCAAAATAACTGATTTCATTTATACAGAGTGTGGAGAAGTTCAAACCTAAGGGTGCCCTTAAGAACAGCGAAGGTTGAGATGAAAGGCAAATCTACATAAATTTCCTATCCATATATTATAGTTCTAACCAGATACATAAAATTAACCATCACTGTCTGCTAGCAACAAATTCTCCTAGTTTGTGTTTATCTAAGTCCTTCTCTTTTCTTTGTTTTCGAAAGATAGATTTGTTAGATGTGGAACTCATGGTTGACATAAAACTTCCCAATTTACTGAAAAACAACAACCTACATATCCCAGGGAGCTCAAAGAACTCCAACTAGGATAAATACAAAGATGTCCACCAATAGACACATAGCAAAAATGCTGAAAGTCAAAGATAAGGAGAAAATCTTGAAAGCAGCAAGAGAAGAATGACTCATCATTTATGAAGGAACCCCAATCAGATTAAAAGATTACCTCTCAGCAGAAACAATGGAGCCAGAAGGCAGCAGATTAACAAAGTGCTCAAAGAAAAAATTTTATCCATAACAGCACAAAGAAGGTGGATGGAAGCAAAAGTGCAGTGGGCTGAGGAAATAAGAGAGAGTAAAGTAATAATTAGAATAGTAATTGTTGAGTTTGTAACATTAATAGATGTTGTATTAGTATATTTGGGCTGCCTTAGCAAGATACCACACGCTGGGAGGAGGAGCCAAGATGGCCGAATAGGAACAGCTCCTGTCTACAGCTTCCAGCATGAGCCACACAGAAGACAGGTGATTTCTGCATTTCCATCTGAGGTACCAGGTTCATCTCACTAGGGAGTGCCAGACAGTGGGTGCAGGACAGTGGGTGCATGCACCGTGCATGAGCTGAAGCAGGGCGAGGCATTGCCTCACTTGGGAAGCGCAAGGGGTCAGGGAGTTCCCTTTCCTAGTCAAAGAAAGGGGTGACAGACGGCACCTGGAAAATCGGGTCACTCCCACCCAAAGACTGCGCTTTTCTGACGGGCTTAAAAAACGGCGCACCAGGAGATTATATCCCACATGTGGCTCAGAGGGTCCTACGCCCACGGAGTCTCACTGATTGCTAGCACAGCAGTCTGAGATCAAACTGCAAGTCAGCAGCCAGGCTAGGGGAGGCGCGCCCGCCATTGCCCAGGCTTGCTTAGGTAAACAAAGCAGCCAGGAAGCTCGAACTGGGTGGAGCCCACCACAGCTCAAGGAGGCCTGCCTGCCTCTGTACGCTCCACCTCTGGGGGCAGGGCACAGACAAACCAAAAGACAGCAGTAAACTCTGCAGACTTAAAAGTCTCTGTCTGACAGCTTTGAAGACAGCAGTGGTTCTTCCAGCACGCAGCTGGAGATCTGAGAACGGGCAGACTGCCTCCTCAAGTGGGTCCCTGACCCCTGACCCCCAAGCAGCCTAACTGGGAGGCACCCCCAGCAGGGGCAGACTGACACCTCACACAGCTGGGTACTCCAACAGACCTGCAGCTGAGGGTCCTGTCTGTTAGAAGGAAAACTAACAAACAGAAAGGACATCCTCACCAAAAACCCATCTGTACATCACCATCATCAAAGACCAAAAGTAGATAAAACCACAAAGATGGGGGAAAAACAGAGCAGAAAAACTGGAAACTCTAAAAAGCAGAGTGCCTCTCCTCCTCCAAAGTAACGCAGTTCCTCACCAGCAATGGAACAAAGCTGGATGGAGAATGACTTTGACGAGCTGAGAGAAGAAGGCTTCAGACGATCAAATTACTCTGAGCTACGGGAGGACATTCAAACCAAAGGCAAAGAAGTTGAAAATTTTGAAAAAAATTTAGAAGAATGTATAACTAGAATAACCAATACAGAGAAGTGCTTAAAGGAGCTGATGGAGCTGAAAGCCAAGGCTCGAGAACTACGTGAAGAATGCAGAAGCCTCAGGAGCTGATGCGATTAACTGGAAGAAAGGGTATCAGGGATGGAAGATGAAATGAATGAAATGAAGCGAAGGGAAGTTTAGAGAAAAAAGAATAAAAAGAAATGAACAAAGCCTCCAAGAAATTTGGGACTATGTGAAAAGACCAAATCTACGTCTGATTGGTGTACCTGAAAGTGATGGCGAGAATGGAACCAAGTTGGAAAACACTCTGCAGGATATTATCCAGGAGAACTTCCCCAATCTAGCAAGGCAGGCCAACATTCAGATTCAGGAAATACAGAGAACACCACAAAGATACTCCTGGAGAAGAGCAACTCCAAGACACATAATTGTCAGATTCACCAAAGTTGAAATGAAGGAAAAAATGTTAAGGGCAGCCAGAAAGAAAGGTCGGGTTACCCTCAAAGGGAAGCCCATCAGACTAACAGTGGATCTCTCGGCAGAAACCCTACAAGCCAGAAGAGAATGGGGGACAATATTCAACATTCTTAAAGAAAAGAATTTTCAACCCAGAATTTCATATCCAGCCAAACTAAGCCTCATAAGTGAAAGAGAAATAAAATACTTTACAGACAAGCAAATGCTGAGAGATTTTGTCACCACCAGGCCTGCCCTAAAAGAGCTCCTGAAGGAAGCGCTAAACATGGAAAGGAACAACCGGTACCAGCCACTGCAAAATCAGGCCAAAATGTAAAGACCATCGAGACTAGGAAGAAACTGCATCAACTAACGAGCAAAATAACCAGCTAACATCATAATGACAGGATCAAATTCACACATAACAATATTAACTTTAAATGTAAATGGACTAAATGCTCCAATTAAAAGACACAGACTGGCAAATTGGATAAAGAGTCAAGGCCCATCAGTGTGCTGTATTCAGGAAACCCATCTCGCGTGCCGAGACATACATAGGCTCAAAATAAAAGGATGGAGGAAGATCTACCAAGCAAATGGAAAACAAAAAAAGGCAGGGGTTGAAATCCTAGTCTCTGATAAAACAGACTTTAAACCAACAAAGATCAAAAGAGACAAAGAAGGCCATTACATCATGGTAAAGGGATCAATACAACAAGAAGAGCTAACTATCCTAAATATATATGCACCCAATACAGGAGCACCCAGATTCATAAAGCAAGTCCTGAGTGACCTACAAAGAGACTTAGACTCCCACACAATAATAATGGGAGACTTTAACACCCCACTGTCAACATTAGACAGATCAACGAGACAGAAAGTCAACAAGGATACCCAGGAATTGAACTCAGCTCTGCACCAAGCAGACCTAATAGACATCTGCAGAACTCTCCACCCCAAATCAACAGAATATACATTTTTTTCAGCACCACACCACACCTATTCCAAAATTGACCACATAGTTGGAAGTAAAGCTCTCCTCAGCAAATGTAAAAGAACAGAAATTATAACAAACTATCTCTCAGACCACAGTGCAATCAAACTAGAACTCAGGATTAAGAATTTCACTCAAAACCGCTCAACTACATGGAAACTGAACAACCTGCTCCTGAATGACTACTGGGTACATAAAAAAATGAAGGCAGAAATAAAGATGTTCTTTGAAGCCAATGAGAACAAAGACACAACTTACCAGAATCTCTGTGATGCATTCAAAGCAGTGTGTAGAGGGAAATTTATAGCACTAAATGCCCACAAGAGAAAGCAGGAAAGATCCAAAATTGACACCCTAACATCACAATTAAAAGAACTAGAAAAGCAAGAGCAAACACATTCAAAAGCTAGGAGAAGGCAAGAAATAACTAAAATCAGAGCAGAACTGAAGGAAATAGAGACACAAAAAACCCTTCAAAAAATTAATTAATCCAGGAGCTGGTTTTTTGAAAGGATCAACAAAATTGATAGACCGCTAGCAAGACTAATAAAGAAAAAAAGAGAGAAGAATCAAATAGACGCAATAAAAAATGATAAAGGGGATATCACCACCGATCCCACAGAAATACAAACTACCATCAGAGCATACTACAAACACCTCTACGCAAAAAAACTAGAAAATCTAGAAGAAATGGATAAATTCCTTGACACATACACTCTCCCAAGACTAAACCAGAAGAAGTTGAATCTCTGAATAAACCAATAACAGGAGCTGAAATTGTGGCAATAATCAATAGCTTACCAACCAAAAAGAGTCCAGGACCAGATGGATTCACAGCCGAATTCTACAAGAGGTACAAGGAGGAGCTGGTACCATTCCTTCTGAAACTATTCCAATCAATAGAAAAAGAGGGAATCCTCCCTAACTCATTTTATGAGGCCAGCATCATCCTGATACCAAAGCTGGGCAGAGACACAACCAAAAAAGAGAATTTTAGACCAATATCCTTGATAAACATTGATGCAAAAATCCTCAATAAAATACTGGCAAACCAAATCCAGCAGCACATCAAAAAGCTTATCCAACATGACCAAGTGGGCTTCATCCCTGGGATGCAAGGCTGGTTCAATATACGCAAATCAATAAATGTAATCCAGCATATAAACAGAACCAAAGACAAAAACCACATGATTATCTCAATAGATGCAGAAAAGCCCTTTGACAAAATTCAACAACCCTTCATGCTAAAAACTCTCAAGAAATTAGGTATTGATGGGACATATCTCAAAATAATAAGAGCTATCTATGACAAACCCACAGCCAATATCATACTGAATGGGCAAAAACTGGAAGCATTCCCTTTGAAAACTGGCACAAGACAGGGATGCCCTCTCTCACCACTCCTATTCAACATAGTGTTGGAAGTTCTGGCCAGGGCAATTAGGCAGGAGAAGGAAATAAAGGGTATTCAATTAGGAAAAGAGGAAGTCAAATTGTCCCTGTTTGCAGATAACATGATTGTACATCTAGAAAACCCCATTGTCTCAGCCCAAAATCTCCTTAAGCTGATAAGCAACTTCAGCAAAGTCTCAGGATATAAAATCAATGTACAAAAATCACAAGCATTTTTATACACCAACAACAGACAAACAGAGAGCCAAATCATGAGTGAACTCCCATTCACAATAGCTTCAAAGAGAATAAAATACCTAGGAGTCCAACTTACAAGGGACGTGAAGGACCTCTTTAAGAAGAACTACAAACCACTGCTCAAGGAAATAAAAGAGGATACAAAGAAATGGAAGAACATTCCATGCTCATGGGTAGGAAGAATCAATATCGTGAAAATGGGCATACTGCCCAAGGTAATTTACAGATTCAATGCCAGCCCCATCAAGCTACCAATGACTTTCTTCACAGAATTGGAAAAAACTACTTTAAAGTTCATATGGAACCAAAAAAGAGCCTGCATCGCCAAGTCAATCCTAAGCCAAAAGAACAAAGCTGGAGGCATCATACTACCTGACTTCAAACTATGCTACAAGGCTACAGTAACCAAAACAGCATGGTACTGGTACCAAAACAGAGCTATAGATCAATGGAACAGAACAGAGCCCTCAGAATTAACACCGCATATCTACAACTATCTGATCTTTGACAAACCTGAGAAAAACAAGCAATGGGGAAAGGATTCCCTATTTAATAAATGGTGCTGGGAAAACTGGCTAGCCATATGTAGAAAGCTGAAACTGGATCCCTTGCTTACACCTTATACAAAAATCAATTCAAGATTGATTAAAGACTTAAACATTAGACCTAAAACCATAAAAACCCTAGAAGAAAACCCAGGCATTACCATTGAGGACATAGGCATGGGCAAGGACTTCCTGTCTAAAACACCAAAAGCAATGGCAACAAAAGCCAAAATTGACAAATGGGATCTAATTAAACTAAAGAGCTTCTGCACAGCAAAAGAAACTACCATCAGAGTGAACAGGCAACCTACAAAATGGGAGAAAATTTTCACAACTTACTCCTCTGACAAAGGGCTAATATCCAGAATCTACAATGAATTCAAACAAATTTACAAGAAAAAAACAAACAACCCCATCAAAAAGTGGGCGAAGGATATGAACAGACACTTCTCAAAAGAAGACATTTATGCAGCCAAAAAACACATGAAAAAATGCTCACCATCACTGGCCATCAGAGAAATGCAAATCAAAACCACAATGAGATACCGTGTCTCACACCAGTTAGAATGGCAATCATTAAAAAGTCAGGAAACAACAGGTGCTGGAGAGGATGTGGAGAAATAGGGACACTTTTACACTGTTGATGGGACTGTAAACTAGTTCGACCATTGTGGAAGTCAGTGTGGCGATTCCTCTGGCATCTAGAACTAGAAATACCATTTGACCCAGCCATCCCATTACTGGGTATATACTCAAAGGACTATAAATCATGCTTCTATAAAGACACATGCACACATATGTTTATTGCGGCATTATTCACAATAGCAAAGACTTGGAAACAACCCAAATGTCCAACAAGGATAGACTGGATTACGAAAATGTGGCACATATACATCATGGAATACTATGCAGCCATAAAAAATCATGTGTTCATGTCCTTTGTAGGGACATGGATGAAATTGGAAATCATCATTCTCAGTAAACTATCGCAAGAACAAAAAACCAAACACTGCATATTCTCACTCATAGGTGGGAATTGAACAATGAGAACACATGGACACAGGAAGGGGAACATCACACTCTGGGGAACTGTTGTGGGGTGGGGGGAGGGGGGAGGGATAGCATTGGGAGATATACCTAATGCTAGAAGACAAGTTAGTGGGTGCAGCACACCAGCTTGGCACATGTATACATATGTAACTAACCTGCACATTGTGCACATGTACCCTAAAACTTAAAGTATAATAATAATAAATAAAATAAAATAAAATAAATAAATAAATAAAAGACCACATGCTGGGTGGCTTAAACAACAGACATTTATTTTCTGACAGCTCTGGAGGCTAGAAGTTCAAGATCAAGGTGCCATTAGGGTTGTTTTCTGGTGAAGCCATCTTCTGACGGTGTTCTTATATGGCCCTTCCTCTGTGCACATGAAGAGAGAGAGAGAGAGAGATTGATCACAGGTGTCCTTTCCTCTTCTTAAAAGGGCACCAGTTCTAGCAGATCAGGGGGCTATGTTTATGAGCTCATTTTACCTTAATTATTTCCTTAATGGTCCTATCTCCGAGTCCAGTTACATGGGGGTTAGGATGTTGAACTATAATCATAAGTAAAACAGTTTCCTGACTCCTATGAGTTGTTTCAGGTAATTATTCAACCTGCGAAGGTAGTGGGAACCCTCAAATTTGTAGCTAGTTGGTCTGTAGTGTGGGTGGCCTGAGAATACATAGCTGGCATCTGGAGTGATAAGAGCCTTATGGAGGACTGTGCCCCCAGCCTGTGAAGGCTGTGCCTGCTCTGGGTAATAAATGGCAGAACTGCATTAGAAACACGTACAGAACTTCACTGCTGTGTGGATACTCCTGCATGTTGTTAGACCTAGAATGACAATGTTAGGGAACGTTACTCAGCCAGCTAAGATTTCTCAGTAAGGCCTTCCTTGAGTATCTGATTTCTCAATGACTGTCCACGCCTGTGATGGTTTATTTTATGTGTCAACTTGACTGGGCCACAGGGTTCCCTGATTTGGTTAAATATTCTGGGTGTATCTGTGAGTGTGTTCCTGAATGATACTAATATTTGAATTGGTAGACTGAGAAAAGCAGATTGCCCTCCCCAATGTGGATGGACCTCTTCCAATCTGCTGAAGGCCTGAATACAACAAAAGGCTGAACGACAGGGAATTCGCTCAAAGAAAAAAAAAGAAAGAAAGAAAGAAAGAAAAGGAAAAGAAAAGAAATAAGAGAAAAGAATTCTTTGTCTCTGCCTGATAGTCTTGAGCTGAGACATTGGTCTTCTCCTGACTTCAGACTTGGATTTAGACTGGGACTTACAAACCATTTGGCTCTCCTCTTTCTCAGGCCTTTGGACCTAGGCTGGAATGTCTCAGCCTTCATAATCATGTTATCCAAGTCCTTATGATAAGTTTGTGTATCTATATCTATATATTTACATCTATATCTATATTTACATCTATACCTACATCTCCAGGATTCTCTGGAGAATCCTGACTAATGCAACCCTTTAATTCCTAAAGCACTAAAGCCTTTAAAATTATCAGTAAAAACGATAATATTAGCTTCTGTTTTAAAATATCTAATTAAGCTGCTATCAACTAAGTTAATAAGCCATTTGAAAGTAAGTTCTATGTGAATTTACCATTTAGTACTCCAGCATCTAATACCATACTCTCTAAATATTAACTCTAATAATATATTGCTACTACTTCAAACTACATTCAGTAATGAAGGATAAAAATATAATTCACATGCTTTGATGATCTGCTTTTAATAATTTTAATGTGCAGGAATTTCCCAAAGAAAGATATACTTGATATCGTTTTAGGGAAATCTGGCCAAAAGTTCTATATTTTACAAAGTGTGAGATTGTGCTTCTCTCAGTTCACAGGGAATTTTCTCTTTTAACAAATTCCCGATTCATGACTGAGGCTATATTTATTTCCAAATTATAGACCTAATACACCTTGATTTCCTTAAGTTCCAGAGGCTAGAAACCCCTCGATGAGTTTTCAGAATTAAATCGTACCTGACAAGATTTTATGGAATATATAATGATGCCTCTATTAGGAAGTGAGTACATTGAGACATTCAGCACCACAGGTAGGAAGAACAGAAGAAGCATGTTGGAAAATAAGACAATAAGAACAACAAAATATCTCCCCCCCAAAAAAGTCCCTTTATTTTGGTATTTCTTTTCCTGAAAGAAAAATACTGTCTCCAATTTAAAATAGGTTTTTATAAATAAGGAGCTGTAGGGTCTCCTTGTTATTTCCTAATTTGATGTTCAATTAAACTGGAATATGTCTGCTATTATACATTCTAATCTTCCAGTGACCAGATAAATCTACCTTTATTCTTCCTTTTTGTTATAGTAGAGACAGTGTCCCTTCACCTCCTCTTCAATATAGCAATCCTGTACATATATATACTTCTTACTTGACCTCTCACTGAGGTGTGTGTATCATATCTATAGTATTGTAATTGTACATAGTCAAAAATCTGCTCCTCTTTGAAAAATCTTTTTGTTGTTTTCTATTGTACCACATTCCTCAGGCCTTCCTCTAACCCTTTCTAATTCTTCTTAATACCAGCATGCAAAAACCTCTGGTACTAATGCAGATCTCTCCAATAATGTTGTTGAGGCTGAAATGCCAATCCTGTTAACATTGGGCTGAGCTCCATGATCCATGGGCATTGTAGAGAGATATTCTTTTAGCATTATTTTTTTTCTTCTTTATCCTAAGCAAAACTCCCTGGTGGCTGGGCAACAGGGTAATTTGTATGGCAAGTACTGTAATGAACTCAATCACCTGCTGTTATTAACACGAGACAGTAGCTGCAGGTCACTTGTCCAAGGATGAGTTTCTTCCAGGGAGCTTTTTCAACCTCATGTAAGCAGACTTCTGGTGACCATGCCCCATACATTGCTGGCTATGCCTGAATCCCAAGACCACTCCTATTCATCTCAAGATGCACTCTTATTAATGATATTAAATAAATTATTTACTTGAAAGGAACTTAGCTTAATATACTTTGATGTTTTTCTAATCTGAAAATAATTTTTATAAATCCAGTCATTAAATTGCAGATCTCCTTTGCCAGTTTGCCACAAGGCCTGTTTCTGCCAGAGAACCATAGCCAAATACACAAACTCGACTAATGGAATACACATGAATCTCATTGGAGATGAACAAAGAATCACTCTTAAACCAACCTTAGCTGTTCTGCCTTAGGTATATGCCATTTCGCTTATTTGGCAATGCTGCAAAATGGCAGTAAGAGCTTCTCTATGAGATTAACCTTTCTTTCTGCATCTGGCAGAAACAAGATGCTCACTGCAAATCTTCTGTCTCACACATATAGCAAATCCCAATCATACCCATTCAGCTGAGAGCTTCTAAAAGCCCACTTCCATTTGCTATCGCCATTCTCTCTGCATCCTTCCTCTCAGGCTCTGGATTTGCCTATCTAAGCATCTGACCTTTTGTGATCCTTCTTGACTAGGCTAACCTACTGACGTAGACTGACCAATGGCCTATTTTTTACTTCTTGACTAATTTTTTCCACTGGATTCAACATAAATGCTTGTGAGTAAAACACAGTGCATAAACTTTTCCATTTCAAAAAGGAAACAAAATTTAAATAAAGTTCTATTAAGCCTGAATATATGAAGATGAAGGTAATAGTTGGAAATTCCAATATGATAGTATATAAAATAGATGGAACATTAAATAAGGCATGATATATAGCAACTGTAATCAAACGTATTTACTGTTGATAATTTTAATTAAGGAAGTTGTTAATGGAGTTGTGTATATTCAGGAAGGATTTCATGGCTTTATTTTTAGAAGCACAGGCTCTCAAATTTACAAGCCATATGAATTAAATGAATCCAATGATCTACATGTAATTGAAAGCCGTCCTTCCAGTGCTGGAGAACAATTTTAATTGCAAATGTTATTAAACTGTCCTTGCAAATTTATTTATGTGAACAAAGTTCCAATAGCAGTGCTACTATTTGGTGGTTTCAATGTGTACCATATAGTCATTAAAGGCCTCCAGAAATTAAAATAAGTACCTTCTTCTTTCATTTATTTCTTAAAATATTCACTTCAAATTGGTTCTCTGAAAGCTTACAGTTTGTCTCAGTGCCCCTGACATTTACTTAATATAAGGATCTGACTTATTTGATAGGTGGGAACCTGAGACTCAGGGTAGAAAAATGAATCATTTAGTATCACACAGCACCAAGATGTAGTCAGCGTTGGGGGATTCTGATTTTTAGATGCAGACATGCCTAGATACTGCATATTTGCTTCTGGAGAGAATACAATCTCTAACTTGAATAATTCAAATGACATTTGGAATGGCAAAGTTTGGGACATGTCTGTAGTCAGCTTTCTTTAACATCATTTGTTCATTTTCAGAGGAGTCAGAGAAGATGTGAACAAAGTTTATAACCCAGAGTTGCAACAATCAGCTATTCATTCATTCATTTAATATATAAGTATTGCTGGTTGCATTAATCTTTTTTTGCCCATATTCCATAACCACTTCCTTTACTGAACTCTCACTTGCCAAGTCAATATTCCCCTGCCTTAATCAATGTGGGTTCAGGCACCAGACAACTCAGGACAGCCCCTATAATCCATAGCTCACTGAAATTATTCAAACTATACAATCCCAAACCTGCTTACCTTGCCTCCCCTAATCCTTTCCACAAAAATCACAATAAAGAATTTTGCCCACAGTTTTCCCTCACTCCCCTGCCTCCTGACTAACCCTGGTGCTTCCCCATGTGTTCCTGTATAGCATGGCATGACCTGTCTTCTTCTTGGGAACCATGAGTAAGAAACTATCTTTTTAGGGCCAGGCACAGTGGCTCACGCCTGTAATCCTAGCACTTTGGGAGGCCGAGGGGGGTGGATCACCTGCGGTCAGAAGTTCGAGACCAGCCTGGCCAACATAGTGAAACCCCATCTCTATTAAAAATACAAAATTAGCCAGGCATGGTGGTGAGTGCCTGTAATCCCGGCTACTTGGGAGGCTGAGGCAGGAGAATCACTTGAACCCAGGAGGCAGAGGTTGCTGTGAGCTGAGGTCACGCCACTGCGACTGCCACCCTGGCCATACAAGAGCGAAACTTCGGAAAAAAAAAAAAAAGAAAGAAAGAAACTATCTTTTTAGTAACAATTGTCTTCTGATCTGTTAGCCTCACCATATGTGAATAATAATACAACCAATATTTTAAAACAAGACCATGTCCTAGATATTGTCCTAAATGCTGGAGATTCAGTAGGGAGTAAGCTAGATGTGGCCCTAGTCCTGCTGGATTTTATAGACTGAACCAAGGGCTTTCTCTGCGCCAGTGATAGAGAGTCTGATCCAAGTTTTTAAGGGACTCTTTCTGTATATCTTGCATAATTGTCCTCATTCAAGCTTCAGTTCAGAGCAACAGGAAGATTATGAGATTTGTTGTCAGATCTCTTCATGGTTCTTATGTCTTGCAGGACCTGGGACAGGTTATCTGAACTTCTAGCTACACACATATGGTTATCCTAATACCATTTGCCAAGTCCGGCAAGCTATGTTCATAAGCGAGTTGTAGTATTTCAAAACAAAAGTGTTATGAAGAAACCAGGAGGAATACAGTATGGCTGATCATTTCACAAGAGTGAGTAAAGACCGGCATCCCTGAGGCAACTGTTCTTATAAACTCTTGGAGGACTCACTGGATCTCATAAGCACATTGAGTGTTGCATAAATAAAAATGCAAGCCTTTAAGCATACACTTTACACACACACGAGCACACACACACACTTAGAGCTAGACACTGATAGAGACTTGTGTCTTACACATTAGAATTCAAAGAGTGTTCTTCTTTCCACATAAGGGAATTTAGAGGGGTTAAAAAGAATACACACTCATGCATGTATGCACTCAGGTTTTCTTTGGGAAGTCTATGATAACAGTTACATAAATAAAAATGAATAATAATATAAATGTCCCTTGTCTCTAAGAAAGCAGAACACCTGTCTGCCCACATCAGTTTATGTAATACAAACATCTCACCCCTACCAAAAAAATTTTATGAGCACACTTACACCCCCAGGAAATCATTAAAAATCAATGATCCAGAGTTACAGTGGCACACATTTTTTAAAGCTTTGTTTATCTCCCCTCATTAAAAATACCTTTACAGAAAGCAATAATCCTGATGGTGTGAATTAATAACTGCATTTTTGAGGTTCATTGTTCTTGTTGTACTCATGGTTCACTGATTTCCTAGGCCTGTTTTGTGTACAGTGCTATTTACATAGTCACTGGATTATTATCTGCCTTCCAGAATGACAGGAAAAACCTGGGTCTTCTGGGAGCAGTGGGAAGATTACTTGCACAGAAGAAGTGCATTTTTTAGTAGAACAGAAATCCAGACAGTATTAAAATTAGGGTTATAAAGTAACAAGGACAAAAGGATAGCAAAGTAGAAAATAGAGGGGATCAAACACATTTTTTTTCCTAGTAGAACTGAGAAACAAGCAAGTATCTGATTACTTCATTCATATCACTTCTTAAGTTCTCAAGGGAGAAGGAGTCTATTCAGTAACATATATACTCAGAAAGGCAACAAGATGAGGAGGAAGGAACAGGATATTGGGACCCAGATGGACGAAGATGGGGATCTCTATGCTAGGACTTCCTTAGTACCACCCATCCTTAAGCAAGTGATTGCCTTCCATTTGCTCATGCATTAAAATGGGGGATAGTAATAACTATTGCAGTGGGTAGTTATTAGAATTAAGTGAAAATCTTTGGGTATATACCCAGTAATGGGATTGCTGGGTCAAATGGTATTTCCATTTCTAAGTCTTTGAGGAATCACCACATGGTCTTCCACTAATTTACATTCCCACCAACAGTGTAAAAGCATTCCTATTTCTCCACAGCCTGACCGGCATAGATACATACACGCATATGTTCATTGCAGCACTACTCACAATAGCAAAGACATAGAAGCAACCCAAATGCCTTCAATGATAGACTGGATAAAGAAAATGTGGTACATATACACCATGGAATACTATGCAGCTATAAAAAGGAACGAGATCATGTCCTTTGCAGGGACATGGATGAAGCTGGAAGCCATTATCCTCAGTACACTAACGCAGGAACATAAAACCAAACACTACATGTTCTCACTTACAAATGGGAGCTGAACAATGAGAACACATGGACACAGGGAGGCAAACAACACATACTGGGGCCTGTGAAGGGAAGGCAGGAGGGGGAGAGCACCAGGGACAAGGGCTAATGCCTGCTGGGCTTAATACCTAGGTGATGGGTTGATAGGTACAGCAAACCACCATGGCACACGTTTACCTATATAACAAACCTGTACATCCTGCGTATGTACCCCGAAACTTAAAGAAAATAAAATTAAGTTAAAAAAAGAAATGCCCCTTGTCCTAAATGGCAATGGTTTGGGAGCAGTCACAGCATCTCAAAGGATACCTGGTTTTATAAAATAGCATTGCCATGAAGTCAACAACCAGATAGAAGTCTGGCTGTGGCTTTTCAAGGGAGTCTTCATTTTAAGAAGCTTTCCTTAGTCAGTTGAAAAGTTGAGTTTAAAAATAAATAATGCATAAAGAGGAAAGTTCTGGGCAAATCTTTCTGGAAGGCAAAAATTGTATATTTAAATTTGTGGTTCTTTGAATATTGAGGATATTTTTTGGTTAAGTCATGGGGAGACCCTTCTAAGAAAAGTGACTGAAACACTCAAGTTTTTACATTTGATTTTTCACATTCTGAAAAACATGAAAGATGCCTTTCCCTTTTCTTTGGTTCTGCTACAATCAACTGTGTAATGGTCTCGCCATCAATTCAGATCCTGCTGTGCTTAGAAGCTTTTTCTCTCTGAGAGGACAACACTCTGGGATATGCATAAGAGCTTTGGAGATAATTTTATCAGCACATTTGATTTTGTCTAAGATGGATCACTTGAAACCCTTGCCAGTGTAAGACTTCTCTTACTTACTGGAAATTGTGGTGCTTCATCACAATTCTGAATTATAAGTTATTTGAAGGCAATAAGACTGCAATTTTCAAATGTGGGTTCATCCATGTAATAAATAAATACCTTGAAGTTATAAATCAGCTCAAATACATACATACATGTGTGTGTGCATGTATGACACATATTATATGTATTTTATATTTATATATATATATATGTGTGTATGTATGATTATACGTTCTTTAAATTACTTACAAAAACTCACCAGTCTGGTGTTCTAGCAATGTGTAAAATAATTTTTTTGAAACACAAATTCAGAGACAGAAATGTATTCACTGAATTGTGTAATGGTAAGGAGAGTCATGTGTTGAATGGAGTAAAGAAAATGACAGCTCAGAATTGTGGAAAATAGTCAAGGCTTAGAAATAAAACATATTTGGTCTCTTACTTCCATATTCAAAAGGTGAGAGAGCAAAATCCCTTGGGCTTTCTGAGTTTGTTTCAGATTACCTTTCTTCCAGTTGGGGAAAGATGTCAAATAGCAAATGTGGTGTTAACTAAAATATTACGAGTCTTAGTATATTTTATGCTGCTTATAACACAATATCTGAAACTGGGTAATTTATAAAGAAAAGGAATTTATTTCTTGTAGTTATGGAGGCTGGGACATCCAAGGTGTAGGGACTGCATCCACTAAGGGTCTTCTTGCTGATGGGGACTCTCTGCAGAGTCCTGAGGTGGCACAGGATATCACGGGGTAAAGTGGCTGCATGTGCTAGCTCAGATCTCTCTTTCTCTTCTTATAAAGGCACCAATTCCATTCCCATGATAACCCATAAATCCTTTAGCTCATTCATCCATTAATCCATGAATGTATTAATCCATTTATGGGAGTGGAGCCCTCATGACCCAATAATCACCTCTTAAAGGCCCCACCTGTCAATTCTGCCACACTGGGGATTAAGTTTTATTATGAGTTTTGAAGGGGACAAACATTCAAACCATAGCAACATGTAACTGGTTTCTAAGTTCAGATTCAAAGTAATGCTTCTGACCTGGTTCATCTAAAATTCTAGTTCCTGCATTAATGGCTATAAAATATGTACCTGCCAACTTGCCAAGTTCTGCCTCTAATGCAAAGGTCTCTTTTTTTCTCTTTTTTCCCCCTCTCCTATTATTTTCTTTTCTCTCTATCCTATGATATTCTCATACCTCTCTCATTCTGGTTCTTTCTACTTCTTCACCCATAATTACTTCTTCTTAATTGTAATAGCTATCATATGCTTAGGATTAAGAGAAGAGAAGGATGAAGACAAAGGAATTGTCACCAAGAACCAACTAGGCCCCCATCAGGTTCCCTGATGTTTTAAAGATGAGCCTAACATCTTGGTCAATGCAATTAAGGATGTGTCCAATTTATGAAGCTTCATATGCACTTAAGAAATCTGATTTACAAAGCTTTCTTGATTATAGAGGAGTTTTTTCTTGATCTATTATGATAGATTTGGTAATCTCAGATTACCTACTGAACACAGCCTTTCTACAAAAGCAGGGGGGTACTTTATGGTGCTTAAGGACCCATCGTCACTCAGAACTCAGGTCTTGGCCCTGTCCTTCACCACGTGTGTGGCCTCAGGCAGGCCCTTAAACTTTCTAAGCCTCAGTTTTCTATAGGCAATATGAGGATAACAATCATAACTACTTAATAGGAGTACCATAAGGATTAAGTGAAATATTATTTCTGAAGGCCTTAGCTGAAAGATTCCCAAATTATATTATGAGATCGATAAATAATAGCTGTGTTTTTCTGTTATTAATCTAGTAATATGGTGTATGCACACAGATGGCAACCATAGGATCAGTTTGAGAAAACAGCTGAAGCCAGTCTTCCAATCTCAATTTTCTATATCCTGGATTATTCTACTTCAATATTTAAATTTCTCTCTCTCTCTCTCTCTCTCTCTCTCTCTCTCTCTCTCTCTTTCTTTTCCCTCTACTATTTTCTCTTCTCTCTATCCTATGATATTCTCATACCTCTCTCATTCTTGTTCTTTCTACTAATTCACCCATAATTACTTCTCTTTAATTGTAATAGCTATCATATGCTTAGGATTAAGGGCTTTACATGTATAATTTGTTCTCCATAGAAACAACACAAATGTAAATATTATTATTATCACTAATTTTTAAATGAGAAAATTAGGTTAAATTTTTTACAAAGCAAGATTTTTGCATACTACAGCCAGGATTTGAACATCAGCTATCTAACTCAATAGCTGCTTCCATTTTCATTATATCATATATTTTAGTTAGCTATCTCTGCATTAAAAATACCCCAAAACTTGATAGCTTAAAACAATCACCATTGAATTAGCTCATGCCGCTTTAGCTCAGCACTCAAGGTTTGGCTCAGCTGGCTAGTTCTTCTGGTCTACAGTGGGTTCAACCAGGTATCTCTTGTCAGTATGTGTTGGGAGAGGCAATTCTGCTGCTCTTAGCTGGTCTTTCTCATATTTTCTCATACGTTTCCAGGTTGGCTTGGTATAGGCTAGTCTGGGATCACCTTAGCTGGGACAACTGAGCTATCGTCCATGTCATCTCTTATACTCCCAACAAAACAGATCTGACTTGCTTACATGGTAGTGGCAGAGTTCTGAGAAAGCAGAGTCTAGCCTGCAACGCCTGTTGAGCTCTGAGTTCAAAACTAGCTTTCTATTTGTCTACTGAATTCTACTGGGCAAAGCAAGTCACAAAAGCCAGATTCGAGGAACAGGAAAATAATCTCCACCCCTTGACGACAGGAATAGGGAAGTTCGTAACCCAAAGTACATGGGTCTAGGGAAGGATAGAGAATGTAAACTAGTTTTGCAATCAATTTTCACACTAGACATTTTGTCACCTTAGTTTGTCTCCTGCACTTTGAGTCCCTGGCTTATAGTCATTTCTCTCAAATTTTGAAAAGTCTGAAAGAGTATCAAAGGGCTTACCCCTTGCCCTTGTTAGAGCAAGGAATTGCAACGGACTCTAAGGAGTGAAGAAAATTAATGGCAAAATCTCTTGCTAAAAATGGGTGCAGTTGAGTGTCTATAATAGTTGCAATACAATAATAATAAAAACAAAAAAATTCAGAAGTATTTCCCTACCATCTGTCATTATTTTGCTAACGCATTCTATTGACATCCCCAGGAAACCCATGCACGAGGTAGCAATAGGCAAAAAAAAAATCCCACACAATAATTTGCAGACACACATTTCTATTTTTTACGGCTTAAAGAGAAATACAGTTTGGGCTGCATAGCCCTATGGCAACCAAGTGTAAAGCCATAGCAGGTATCCACTTCCAAATTTATCTTTGCCTAGAGCCCCATCTGATTTATTTTTAAGTATATTTCACCAAGATGCCCAAAGTCAAAATGTTATTTACAGTGAGGAGCTGGAAGCGGAACATACTGCATCAATTTTTCCAGAAAGAAAGGAGCTCAGAAATCCACTCTTATGAAGGTAGAAAAACACAGCCCCCTTATTTGTTTACTTAGAGCCTTCTTCCTACCAGGAAAGCGATGAAGATAGCTCACATAATTGGCTGCAAGGTAAGCCACGTATATTGGGAAATGGGAAATCAATCCTTTTGTAACAATCCTGCCTTTGATTGAGCAGCATCTGTATGTTTAAAGAGAAAAGGGAGAAAGATTCAGCAGGTATCGATTCCAAAGTCATTATCACTCACGTTCAGTGAAAACGAACCAGCTTTCCGTTTCCACTCAGCATTTGTTTGAATTAACTGGAGAGTACAAAGATGCAAAACACAGTAGTTGCCTCTGTAGGGCATCTTAACCTGGACCATTGAATCTAGATCTTCCAAGAATCATTTATTTTTTCTCTCTGAATTTCTCTGGGACACGTATACAACATCTAATCAAGGACTTCCTCTTCATCATTGCCAAGTGGTTACAGTTACTAGCTAAAGGAATTTCATTTTTCCCAGATACAAGTGTCTGAAATTTCAAAAGGCTGATTCTAAACACCAGTCTCTTTAAATCCTTCATTTTCACTAGGTGTCCAATGTTGGTTTAATTCCAGAAGATGCCTGCTTGAAGTTTCATTTCACACAAAAAAGTGCCTATGATAAATATTCTTAAATTTTCTTGCTAGGAAATTTGCATGTACAGGAAGAAGGGAGGATAGTTTTTTTATAGGCTTCATTCTGATGTAAGAAAAAACTGGTTATTAATGTGAATTTAATAAATACCTGTTGAAAACTACAATGCATCAGACACCACCCTAGGTACTATTGATCATACCAAGATGTAAAATTAGATATTGTTCCTGAACTTAAAGAGTTATCAGAGTGGCATAGCAGATATGCCAAGGTAATAAAAATTGTGGTAAATATCACTAGAGAAACAGAATCTAAACACTATTGAGCTCAGAACAGGGAAAGTTTGCCCCTGGTTAGGAAGAACCAAGAAAGACTTCATAGAAGAGGTGGCATTTGAGCTGGTTATCTTCTGCACATAGGTAAGATTGAGGCAGGAGAACAGGGTTGGAAGCAGGGAATCTAAGGCCAATTCACACTGACTTACTAGAACTAAATGAAAAGGAAAACTCCAAGTTTCCACACCTAAGTAACAAAAGGATGGGAGGCCACTCCGTTTGCAACCCCTGCCCCCCTATTTCTATATTGCAGATGGAAAATTGAAAGTACCTCTGATTGATTGCTTTCCCCATAGGCGATGTGGAATGTAACTTTGTAACTTTACTTCAGCCTGTGATTGTGGGCCACTACTTCATTTGCATGGAGTGTACACCAAGTGGCTAATGGGAAACCTCTAGAGGGTATTTAAACTCCAGAAAATTCTGTAACTAGGCTCTTAAGCCCCTATGCTCAGGCCCACTCCTACCCTGTGGAGTGTACTTTGTTTTTCAATACGTCTCTGTTTTTGTTGCTTCATTCTTTCTTTACTTTGTGTGTGCATTTTGTCCAATTCTTTGTTCAAAACACCAAGAATCTGGACACCATCCACTGGTAACAACATCAGTATTGCTTAAAACAATTACCTGTTGGTTGATACAAAGTTTTTAATTTCATCTTGTGGTGCATCTCTTCCTAGCCAAAGCTAACCTACCATATAAAATGTGGAGACATAGAGGCGAACAACACACACTGAGGCCTTTTGGAGGGTGGAGGATGAAAGGCAGGAGATCAGGAGAAATAACTAATGAGTACCAGGATTTATACGTGGGTGATGAAATAATCTGCACAGCAAGCCCCCATGATACAAGTTTACCTATGCAATAAACCTGCACTTGTACCCCTGAACTTAAAAGTTAAAAACAAAATAAAATGTGGATACTATCACTGTCTTTTTTTCCTGGAATTTTCCTTAACTACCTATTCTTGTTGTGTTCCTCCTCTTAATAAAGAAAGCCTCAGTTGAGATGACACAAACAATTGGAAAAACATTCCATGCTCATGGATAGGAAGAATCAATATTGTTAAAATGGCCATACTGTCCAAAGCAACTTATGGATTCAATGCTATTTATTTCAAACTACAAATGACATTTTTCATAAAATTAGAAAAAAAGCTATTTACAAATTTATATGATTCTATATACCAACAGTGAGTAATGTAAAAAAGAAATAAGAAAGTAATCCTATTTACAATAGCCACACTGAAAATTAAATACCTAGGAATTAACCAAAGAAGGGAAAGATCTCTATAATGAGCACTATAAAACACTGATAAAAGAAATTGAGGAAGACACCAAAAGATGGAAAGATATTCCATGTTCTTGGATTAGAAGAATCAATATTGTTAAAATGTTCATACTACCCAAAGCAATCTACAGATTCAATGCAATCACTATCAAAATACCAGTTGGCATTCTTCACAGAAATAGAAAAAAAATCCTAAAATTTATATGGAACCACAAAAGACCCAGGCTAGCAAAAGCTATCCTAAGCAAAAAGAACAAAACTGGAAGAATTACACTACCAACTTCAAATTATACTACAGAGATATAATAACCAAAACAGCATGGTACTGGTGTAAAAACAGGCACATAGACCAATGGAACAGAATGGAGAACACAAACAAATCCACACACCTAGAGTGAACTCATTTTTGACAGAAGTGCCAATAACACACACTGGGGAAAAGACAATCTCTTCAATAAATGGTGCTGGGAAAACTGGATATCCATTTGCAAGAGAATTAAACTAAACTCCTGTCTCTCACCGTAGACAAAAATCAAGTCAACATGGATTAAAGACTTAAACCTAAGACCTCAAGCTGTGAAACTACTACAAGAAAACACTGGGGAAAATCTCCAGGACACTGGCCTGGACAAAGACTTCTTAAGCAATACCCAACAAGCACAGACAACTAAAAATTCATATGGAACCAAAGCAGAGCTTGAATAGCCAAGGCAATTTTAAGCAAAAGAACAAAGATGGAGGCATCATGTTACCTGACTTGAAACTATGCGACAAGCCTACCATATTAGTCCATTCTCATGCTGCTAATAAAGACATACCTGAAACTGGGTAATTTATAAAGAAAAAAGAGATTTAATGGATTCACAGTTCCACATGGCTGGGGAGGCCTCACAATCATGGTGGAAAGTGAAGGAGGAGCAAAGCCATGTCTTACATGGTGAAAGGCAAAGAGGGCGTGTGCAGGGGAACTCTCCTTTATAAAACCATCAGCTCTTGTGAGACTTATTCACTATCATGAAAATAGCATGGGAAAGATGCACCCCCATGATTCAATTACCTCCCATCCTCCCATAGGGTCCCTCCCATGATGCATGGGAATTATGGGAGCTACAATTCAAGATGAGATTTGGGTGGGGACACAGCCAAATCATATCACCTACAGTAACCAAAACAGCATGGTACTGGTACAAAAACAGACACACAGACCAACAGAATGGAGAGCCCAGAAACAATGCTGCATACTCACAACCATCTCATCCTTGACAAAGTTGACCAAAACAAGCAGTGGGGAGATGACTCCCTGTTCAATAAATTGTACTGGGATAACTGGCTAGTGATATCCAGAAGATTGAAGCTGGACTCCTTCCTTCCCCATATGCAAAAATCGACTAAAAATGGAGTAAAGACTTAAATGCAAAACCTCAAACCATAAAAACCCTAGAAGATAACCTAGGAAATGCCATTCTGGACACAGACCCAGGCAAAGGTTTCATGACAAAGACACCTAAGCAATTGTAATAAAAACGAAAATGGACAAATTGGCCCTAATTAAACTAAAGAGCTTCTGTACAGCAAAAGGAACTATCAATAAACAGTCTACAGAATGGGAGAACATATTTGCAAACTATGCTTTGACAAAGGTCTAATATCCAGAATATATAAGGAGCTTAAACAAATTAAGCAAAAAACAACCCCATTAAAAAGGGGGAAAAGGACATGAACAGACACTTTTCAAAAGAAGGCGTACACGAGGCCAATAAGCAAATAAAAAAATGCTCATCATCACTAATAATTAGAGAAATGCACATCAAAACCACAATGAGAGACCATCTAACACCAGTCAGGATGGCTATTTTGAAAACGTCAAAAAATAACAAATGCTGGCAAGTTTATGGAGAAAAGGGAACACTTATACACTGCTGGTGGCAGTGTAAATTAGTTCAGTCATTGTAGAAAGCAGTTTGGTGATTTCTCAAAGAATATAAAACAGAAGTACCATTCAATCTAGCAATCTCATTGTTGGGTATATACCCAAAAGAATGTAAATCATTCTACAATAAAGACACAGATAGTCATATGTTCATTGCAGCACTATTCACAGTAGCAAAGTCATGGAATCAGCCTAAATGCCCATCAATGACTGACTGTATAAAGAAAATGTACGTATATAACATGGAATACTACACAGTCATATAAAAGAATGAGATCATGCCCTTTGCAGCAACAAGGATGGAGCTGGAGGCCATAATCCTAAGTGAACTAATGCAGGAACAGAAAACCAAATATTGCATGTTCTCACTTACAAGTGGGAACTAAACACTGAGTACACATGGACACCAAGAAGGGAACAACAGACACTGGAGCCTGCTTAAGGATGGAGGGTGGAAGGAGGGAGAAGACTGAAAATGTTGGGTACTATGCTTAGTACCTCGGTGATGAAACAATCTGTATACCAAACCCCTGTGACATGCAATTTACCTATATATGAAACCTGCACATGTACCCCTAATCCTGAAATAAAAGTTAAAGAAAATATAGCCTCAGTAGTAATGTGCTCAATTTTTATCCCGAAACCAATGAGGGATGTAGTGAAGGAAGTAAAATAAAATTTCTCTATCTTTATCTTCCTTACTCAATTGCAGATTTCCATCTCTCCTTTCTTTTATTCAAGCCTATAGATAGAGTCCTCTCTAGACTTGTTCTCCCTACTGTGATATGAATAACTACTTGGGTTTTAAATTTTTTGGTTACTATAGTCAATGTTCTTAAGTAATATATTGGTTTTTGATTCCCAAGTGAAATCAGATAATTATAAAAAACATAATTATGTACTCACAATAAATTCTGTCCCTAGGAGACATCCTATTCCTATACATCTCTCCTTACTCTTCAATGCTCAAACACTTTGTAAAACCCAATGCTTTCCATAGAGGCCTGAAGTATAGACTGGAAGCAAAACCATTCTGTGTCTATCACAACCACCAATGAAACCACATTACACCAGACTAATAAAAAAAGATATTTCTTGGTATTTTTGGAAGAAGACAAAAGCAGGGTATGTTATCCATAGATTGCTTCGGTCTAGCCCAGGAAATCAAATCCTTTCAGATTTTGGTATATACAGAAAATAGTTTCAGTGAGCTACAATTTCATTCCATAATTTTTTCATTCACCTTCACTGGATTCCTTTAATGTGGCAGGCAGGTGCTATGCTGAAAAATGAGATACAAAAAAAATGAGTTCGATATAAAACCTGCCCTTGAAGAATTCACAGGTTTGGTGGCTGCATAAATACAGTATGTAAAAATAATTGTGAAAAGTGTTAATAATATAGATGAGGGGATATTACTGTTAGATCATAAAGAAGAACCCAATTCTACTTAGAGAGTGACAGAAAAAGCTTCAGAGAAACTCAAGGTGATCCTTGAGAAGATAAGAGTTTGATAATGAAAGGCATAGAAGCCTATATGAGAAAAGAGAGGCATACAATAATGTGGCATATCCATGGAAGTGTAAGACATACACTATTACCACTACACAGGGTGAAGGCAGAGTATGTTCTAAAAAAATATGAAATTGGTGACAGCTTGGGGCCAGATTTTGAAATGTGCTATTGTTAGTTAAAAACAATAGAAATAGAATTAAACACTGAAAAGAGCATGCTGAACAAACTTAGATGATAACAGAACTTCACAAATATCCCCACTGAAAGAAGAACTCATAGAGGTATAGAAAATCTTTAGAGAGGGAGCATGAGAACTCGAAAAGGTAATACCATGGCATTCAAGGATGGAGAGATGTTGATGAAGCAAGGTTTGGCCAATGGGAACAATACAATGAGGGAGGAAGAGTTCACGAATTTAAAAAAAAATAACTTGGATTTAATACCATAAAGTCAGTAAATAAGGTTTGGGTGGGCTGTGAATACTGGCGCCAGACTGAAGTGGATTAATTGACAGAATGAGAGTTCTGCTTCATACGCCATGCAGGGACATAGGCTCCCTCCATGGTATGGCTCTGCCACCATCTTCTAGATCTGGCACCATCATCCCATGATTCATTCAGAGGCAGTGGGAAAGCCAGAGCATGGAGGACCACGTGGTAAGTTTTATAGGGGCAAGACCCTGAAATTATGCTCATCCCATCACTTACATTCTACCAGCCAGAACCCAGTTGCATGACCTCTGATATGGTTTGGCTTTGTCCCCACCCAAATCTTATTTTGAATTGTAGCTCCCATAATTCCCATGTGTTGTGGGAGGGACCCAGAGGGAGATAATTGAATCATGGGTGTGGTCCCCCATACTGTTCTGGTGGTAGGGAATAAGTCTCATGGGATCTGATGGTTTTATAAGGGGTTGCCTCTTGCACTTGGCTCTCATTCTCTCTTGTCTGCCACCATGTAAGATGTGCCTTTCACCTTCTGCCATGATTGTGAGGCCTCCCCAGCCACATGGAACTGTTAGTCCATTAAACCTCTTTTTCTTTATAAATTACCCAGTCTCGAGTATGTCGTTATTAGCAGTGTGAAAACAGACTAATACAATCACCTATACCTGCCAGGGCAACTGGAAAATGTAATGGACCTGCACACACAGGAGGAAGAAGAAACAGGAATACAAATAGTGAACACACAGCAGTGTCTGTCACAGCTGTTTTTCCTTATTCTTTTACAGAATTATTTTTAAAAATTATAAGCAAAAGAGACATGTAACAGGGAATTTTCAGCCTTTGCATGTGTTTTCTTCCTTATTGCAGCTTATCTCTTGGGAGAGGCACAAAGATGATTCTTAAGAACAGAAAAACAGCAGCAGTTTTTTTTTTTTTTAAATCCCATTCGTTTTCCAGTTGGAGAAAAAATCTTTATGTGTAGCTGTCAAAATGCTCAGGCCCCACACATGGTACAGTATTTGGATGAAGTTTAAAGGAATAGAAACAACAACAAAAAACCCACTAATGATAATTTCTAAGGGACTTTCTTGCCAGAAAAAGATACAAACATTGTCAAACATCATAATGCTACAAACACCAGTTATACCGGCTGCAAATTTCATTTGCATTAGAGCCAAGCATCTGACAGTGTCAGTGGTGGAGAAAGAAGTGAGGGTAGCCACCCCTCTGGATATAATTATGGCCAACAAAGAAGAATGTACTGGTGTCTGTGGGTATGAGAACTGTGGGAGAAAGTGACCATGTCAGTGGAGATTTTATTGTGGGCAACAGGAGAATGAAGAGCAGATTTCAAAACGTTCACAGAAAAGGAGGATTTGGTAACTAGTGGTTATGACAGGATGTGGCTCAAATGGAACAGAAGATTAAAAACTGAAAATCTGACCATATAATCCATCACAAGTATTCCACATCAGGAAGAAAAGAGAGAATCAGCTAAGAAAACCAATGCCACATCTTAGGGAACTCTGGGTGAGTTCCATTAAAAATGGGAACTCTATCCGATAGAAGAAAGGACTGAACCTAAAAAGGAGTACAGATCTAAGAGAGAACCAGGGTGCAAAGGACTAAATTAACTGGGATTTCTGTAACAAGCAGGGCAACAAACTAAAAAGAAAGAGAGACAGCCCATCTAGTGGGACAGAGCAGTATATTTACCTGTGACAGAAAGGGACACATCTACATATTCTTATTTTTCTAACCTTTTCCAGATATTTTTATCCCCAACTGAAAAACCTACAACAAGCATTGCTTCTTGTTATGAGAAAGAAAGAGAAATCCAATGTAGAAAGAGAAATACTTTTTTGTTTTTTAAATGTTTATATTTTTTATTCAACTTTTAAGTTCAGGAGTACATATGCACGATGTGCAAGTGTGTTACATAGGTAAACGTGTGTCATCTTGGTTTGCTACACAGATCATCCTATCACATAAGTATTAAGCCCAGCATCCATTAGCTATTCTTCCTGATGCTCTCCCTCCCCATGGCCTGACGGGCCCCAGTGTGTGTTGTTCCCCTCAATTTGTCTATGTGTTCTCATTGTTCAGCTCCCACTTATAAGTGAAAACATGTGTTTGGTTTTCCGTTGCTGCATTAGTTTGCTGAGGATAACAGCTTCCATCTCCATCCATGTCCCTGCAAAGGACATGATCTCATTCCTTTTTATGGCTGCATAGTATTCCATGGTGTATATGTACCAAATTTTCTTTATCCAGTCTATCATTGATGAGCATTTGGGTTGATTCCATGTCTTTGCTAATGTGAATAGTGCTGCAATAAACATATGTGTGCATGTATCTTTATAACAGAATGATTTATATTCTTTTGGGTATATAATCAGTAATGGGATTGCTGGATCAAATGGTATTTCTGCCTCTAGAACTTTGAGGAATCACCACACTGTCTTCCACAATGGTTGAACCAATTTACACTCCCACCAAGAGTGTAAAGCATTCCTTTTTCTCCACAACCTCACCAGCATCTGTTATTTTTTGACGTTTTTAATAATTGCCATTCTGACTGTCATGAGATGGTATCTCATTATGATCTTGATTTGCATAGAGAAATACTTTTTTTTCAGCCATAGTAAATGAGCTTATGTCTCCAAATCCAGATAGAATTAATTCAAGGGTGTGGAGAAAAATTAATAAAGGTTTTCATGTTGAAACAGTCAGTAATTTTTGATGGGTTTTTGAGTTTGGAAGGGAAGCCCCATAACTGAAAATAGAAAAAAAATGTTTATTTTTAAAGGGACAGAAAAACAGATCGTGGGGAAGAAATCCTCATTAGTTTGCTAGCAGCCTACTGCCAAATTTTAAAACATATAAACAGATGTTTATATGCACTTGAAAAAGAAAACTACATTCATTTCAGTATACCATAAGTTTATTCAGGATAATATGTGCCAAACTATCTCCTTTCTGTTAAGTGGTATTGATAAGTATTATGGTTGTGTTAACCATATAGAACTCTAATATGCAAAGAGAATTTGAGGGCAATACCCACACATATGGAAAATGTATTTTATTTTTTACTCTTCAATTAAAAACAATTCATCAACCAAACAAGGCACAAATATATAGTTCCTTGTGAAAAAATTTAATATTATCAGTGAGTCTAAAGACTCCTATGATTACCTCGACCAATTCTGTTCTCCTCAGCCCCTTCCTAAAAATGATCACCACTGGAAATTGTATTATTCCATACCTTCTCCTATTTATTTACACACACACACACACACACACACACTCACTCAATAAGTGGATAAAATAATAATATTTTGAGTAAATTTTCATTCTCTCTCCAATTTATTTACACACACACTCATGAGTGGATAAAATAAATATTAATAAATATTTTGAGTAAATTTTTATCACAAAATATGTCATATTTTCTTAAAACTATTCTGAATATTTTATTCAAAAATACTAACACATATTTCTCAAAACATAAAGATCTAAGTTTTTTTACTGAGTTCTGCAGAATATTTCATTGTATAAAATATCACAGTTTATTTCATCAGAATACTATAAAACGTATTTCTTACTTTTCTTTTGTGTGTGAATCAAGGGGTTTTTTTTGTTGTTGTTTTTGTTTTTTGGGTTTTTTTTTTTTTTTTGAGACAGAGTCTCACTCTGTCACCCAGTGACAGAGTGCAGTGGTGTGATCTCAGCTCACTGCAACCTCCGCCTCCTGTATTCAAGGGATTCTCCTGCCTCAGCCTCCCAAGTAGCTGGGATTACAGGTGCCCGCCACCATGCCTGACTAATTTTTTGTATTTTTAGTAGAGACGGGGTTTCACCATGTTGGCCAGACTGGTCTCAAACTTCTGACCTCAAGTGATCTGCCTGCAACAGCTTCCTAAAGTGCTGGGATTACAGGCATGAGCCACCACGCCCGGCCAGATTGGGTCATTTTCTTTGGATAACCTAGCCGCAAATAGTCCAGTGTTTCCATTTGTCTGATGTGTTCTACTTTTGAGAGCTACCGAATTGCTTTATCCAGCATGCTGGCAAGTCATACTCGCAGGACTTTTCTCTGCAAAAATAGTCCATCATTCTCAATCATGAATATAATCCTGTTTCTTCTTTCCTCATCTGATATGATAATTATGAGACACATACAGGCCAAATTTAGGAACATAAATCTCCTAGATCCCATGAAGTCTAGGATGGCTAGAAGTTTCCCAAGTTCAACTTGACAAACAATGTATCTGGTGTTTCCATATGCCAAGAAATAGTAGAGATATAACACTATTCTAGAGGAGACTGTCTTTCGTTCATTTGTACTTGCATTTTTCAATCAACTGACAGTGTTGAGTGCTACTTTATGCCAGACACCATTCTAGTCAACAGATATGCAGCCATGCAGAGACAAGTGTGTTCTCAAGGCACCCATCTGTCAGGTTGAGGTTGCCCTACAATCCGCAAGCAAACAGTGAATGAGGTCATTTGAGATGATAGTAATAATGCTTCGAAGAAAATTAAATAGGTAAAAGTGTGACAGTCACTGGGAGAAAAGGAAGTAAGTGTTCAAATAGCAACAGTAATAATAGCAATTTATTACTATAATAGTGTTTAACATGCAAAGATACTGTTTGAAGAGAATTACATTGACTAATCATCTAATTCTCACAAAAGCTCAGTGAAGTAGGTAGAACTTTTACTCTTCTTTTATAGAGGGGGAAACAGAAGCCTAGAGACATTAAATAGCTTGGCAGGGTCTCACAGCTTGTAAAAGACTGAGATAAGATAGTAAGAACAGCCTCTAGAGAAGGTGACATTTGAGCTGAAACCAGGATGACAAGACGCCATCCATGGAAGTCAGAGGGAAAATCAAGTACAGATTTCTCACAATGAAAGTGCTTGACCTATTTCTGGAATGAAAAGGCCAGAATGGAGAGGTTTCTTGGAATTTCTTCATCAAACGGTATTTCACTGAAGTAACTTTGGGACATCATATTTTTTGCATGAAGTACTGCCAGAAAACATGAGGTCCCCAAATTTAAAAATTCTGAAAGTCAATATTTCTGGTCTTCTCCATGGTGGCCTGGGACTCTGTGGGACCATGGGTAGTGAGGAGAAGTATACGGCCTGGGTGCAGTTGTGTTTTCTAAGATTCCCATTCTGAACTAGAGTACTGGGGAAATAATGGGCATTCAGAATTCAGTAAAGCATTATATCCTCACAGAAGAGGTAGAGAAGTTAGGTAGACTTTCAGTGCTTCATCACTATACCTTGAAACTCTATGTTTAATAGCTCAATAATTACAAGTAAGTTAGTCTTTAATATTATGCCTTTGGGTTTTATCTTTGTACTCACCATAGTCAACGCTGAACAATTCTTTGAGTAAAGACATGGAAATGTTACGAGATCTTTGGAGTGTCGTTGTTCTGGCAGGAAACCTGTGGCCAGTGGCACCTTTGCCCAAGTTTTGCTTGGGCCTGCTGGGCTCATTTCACCCACTCAGCCTGGCAGGATGAGTTCAGTTCATGCTACTGGCCCAGGTCCCACATCTGCCAAGGGAGAGTCAGGCATGGAACAGTGAGAGGTGTGTGAGTGAGCACGGGGTTCAGCCACTGCGCACATGCCAGCAGCTGCAGCAGGGCAGGCAGCTCCAGGTGCCGACATGGACACCAGCTCTCTACAAGGGCGCAGCCAGACCAGGCACACCACAAGCAGCTTCCACAGCTGGCACCAGGGAACATGGCAGCACCCGGCAGCTTGAAGACACCAGGAGCCACAGGGCTCAAAGAGGGAGTCACAGCTTTGACTCAGGGAACTCTCAGGTCTGGGCTTCCCAAAGGGACATAGCTCTTCTCTCCTATTTGACTGCAACATGGTGAGCAAAGGCCATGTTTCAGCCATGTCTGTGTTACAGTTCTTTTATCCTCATTTGGCAGGTCCTGAGTTCTTATCCTGTGCCCATGAAGAATGAGGTACTCAGACAAATGGAGGGTGAGCAAGAGGAGCTTTATTGAGCTACAATGGCTCAGAGCAGGGCCTGGAGTGGGAAGCTCCTCTCTGCAGCTGGTTGTACTGATGTCAGCTCAGCTTTGACTGAGCCTGGGGCTTTTATAGGCCTCAGAGGGGAGGAAGTGTGCACTGATTGGTCCATGAGCAGCCATAGGCAGGCCAAGAAAAGGCACCACAAGTCCCCACCCAAGTCCATGGGACTGGCAGCCTGGCCCCAGCCTTCAGGTGCTCCCTGGCCTGAAGGTGGATCCTCACTGGGACCCTCCCCATTCTGCCCAGGAATCTGCCTCCTGCTGCCATTCATGGCTGCCTGGGCTTGGCCTGACTTTGCTCCAAAATCTGAGCGGGTGTTGACAGCAGGGAAAAGCCAGGCAATGGGAGCAGACACTTCTGAGCCTGTGAGGGTAGGATTGGGTGGGGCTTTCCTTGGCCCCCAAGAATGCAGGGATGCCTGGGTCCCCAGCTGTAATTTTGGCAGCTGTAGTGGCACCCAAGGAGCTCCTGCCCCAACTTGGAAGGGTTGCAGTTCCTGCTTGTCCCTGGTACCTGCAGGCTCCAAGGAGCCTGCAGCCCCAGCCCCACCTCCCTACTGCAGCTGATATGATGGCAGCAGCAGCTCAAGAGAGCCCACTGCTGCCATCAGAAATATTTTATTAGATTTGTGGATGGCATAAAGCTATGATTTAGTACAAATAGGGAATGACAGAATCAGAGTTAATATGAATTAAATACACTATAATTAGAGGTCATATTTACAAGATATAATCTAACTGTGGAAATGATGAACTTGTCTATTAAGTTAAAGTACATACACACATATACATGTGACTGTTTCTGCATGTATGTGTGTGTATACTTATAAATGCATGCACAGAGAAGGATAGATTTCCTGACTTAATAGATATTCTTCCCAGATGGATGCAGAGTGTGATGCACTGTTAGAAAGGTTACATGTCAGATCCCTCATTAGTACTGAGTCTGCCCTAGTTCATTTTAAGAAATTGTGGTAAACAAAAGAGAGACCAAGAAGGGCCACAGTGAAAATAAGGGTTCTAGAAATGAGCTTTTATATTGATAATCAGAAGAAACGGTACAAAACTTAGCCTGGAAAAAAAAAGAAGTTAGAATCTGAGAGCTGTCTTTCCAAACATTTTAAAGCTGTTGGGCAAGACAAGATACAGAGTTTAAGGGAAATGGTAGTGGTTAAATCCAGGTGTCAGTGCACTTTGGCCAGTAGTATTAGCCTACATAGTGTTTCAAATTTGAATTTATTACCAATATTCAAAAACTGGGATTTTTAATGTATGAATCTAATTTCCTGGTCTTTCTTAAAGAAACAGAAAATCTGATGACTCTAGGCCACACTTTTTCATAATAATTACTGGGGCTGGTAGCTCCCTTAGAAGGGAAATGCATATTTCATGTCACCAAAGTCTCCCTTCCCCCATACTTTAACTATAATTTATTATTTTATGCCTAAACCAAGTCATTTATTTAATTAATTATCTTTCGAATCTTTATTATTCATACAGCAGAACCATGGCAAGCCTTGGCAATTTTAGTGAGATACATTTCAACTCAACTTTAAAAAAAAAGTTAGATTTGCCCAGTAGTGGAGCAAAATACCTTAAGAGTTAGTAAGCTCCCTGACAATGGAAGTAACAAAAGAGATACTGGAAGAAGTATGCAATGGATATCTGGACTGGGTCTGTACTTAGGTCAAATAGTTGAGGCAGCTCTTTCCCTTATTCTATTATTCCATCCAAAATCAGAAGAACACGTAATAGCGACAGAAGAAAACAAAATATTGAGAGCAGAGAGAGAGAGAGCACAAGGCACTAGGGCATAGGGAGAAAAAATAAACAACTTAAGTGAAGGTTACCAAGAGTGTCTGAGAGATAGTGGGAACAAATGAGAGTCTAAATGGTGGCTCCACATTTCAGAGAGAATTGTAAACTTATCCACAACAATTGCAATTAAATGAGGTGTATCCTGGGCAGCTGTCTTCATGCATTAGCATGGCCAATTGGAAAAGTGAAAAAGTAGATTTCCTTCTTTTTGAAAGCATCTGCACCAACTCCTGAAAGGTTGGTGTCTCAAGAATCTCTAATTTAGCAGAGGTATTTATAAAATATGCTTGTCATGTCATTTGTGGCTCAGGATGGATTAAGTCTGATCTGTTTTTATGCATTATAATTACTAAGTAGTTTTGTGCATTGCATGTTTCCCTTAAAGGCCACCAAACAAGCAGGCAAATAGATTAGATTTCTTTGTGCCCCTTCTTTGTTTCTTAGGTTTAGTCCTTTGAGGACTTGCTGTTCCAGGTCCTTCCTTACCATCAGTGCTCATCAAACTGTGTTCATCGCTAATGCTTAAGGAAAAAAAAAAAAAGAAACAGCTCTATTTAGAGACTGGGAGATTATGAAAATCTATGCAAATTCACAGAAGAGTGGGAGGAGAAGGGGAAGAAAAGATAATTCCCAAAGAGGTCAGTTCGTTTCTCTGTGTCTTCCTGCTGTAAACATATTGCAGAAAGCTCTTGGGTTTAAAAGCCATGGCTGGTCAGCTTGCTCCCTGCCTCTCTTTTTCATCTCTTTAAGATAACCATGTAAGAGCAAGAGAAATACATGGAAATGTTGTTCTTTCTGACATTTTTCTCAAATTGCAGTTAAGATTTTTTACATTTGTATCACATCCCTTTATATAGAGCATCATCAGGGGAACTTGTTAAAAAATATAAATTTCTGGGTCCCTTTTTAGATGTACAAAAGCAGAGTCCCAGGAGAGTGTGAGCTGAGAATGTATAGTTTCAAAATTTAATAGAAAATTCCGCTAAACATACATATGTGACAATTACTAATATATAAACACCCTTTGTTTAGACAATGTTTCAAGATTCTGATAATGATATTGGGATGATCAGAAGTAGCAATATAGAGTGGAGATGACGGACTTCTATTTTTTGTTGGTTATAGCTTCTGAGAGCCCTGGACAAAATTGTCAGCTTTCAGCACCCTTGGTAAATAAATTGATTGCAATCTGATGAGGGGTGAAGAGGGGAAGGTAGAAGTTGTTTTAACCTTAATAGGGTACCTTAGTACCCAGATGCTTTGCTTGACTGCCAATCTGTAATCTACAATTGTCCTAAAAGCTTGCTCTGAAGCCACCCAAATGATGACCTGGGAATAGTTTACAGCATCTCTAGTCACGTTATTCAGGGAAGAAGAGGAAAGCAGCTTTTTCTTCTGGAGAGGGAATTGAGTACCATTCAGAGGTACTGAAAAGAGGAAAGAATTATGACACAGGTAGTAAAGCATGATAGATGGTTTGAGGAAGTCCAGTTGGCATTTTTATTCACCCTTTCCCATAACAGAACAACAAGAGGGCACTCACTCAATTGGGGAAATCAAAAAACTGCACGTTTAAAACAAATGAAAGGAAACTTCACAGCCTATAATGAACTCAAGAGACTGGCTGCAGATTGCCAAGGAAGATTACTGAAGCAATTAAACATTTGTGTGTGAATGAGGATAGCATTTTACAACCCAAGTAGGTAGAAAAATAAATTCTGTACTTCTGGATAACACTGGCTTTTTCTTTAAGAAGTATCTATTTTTCTACTTAAAAAAGAAAAGCTGATCTTCAGCTAGATACAGAAAGTGCTATTGCTCACTCTAGCAGATGATGAAATGCCCTTGCCTGGAATCATTAAATCCATGAGAACGTGGTTGTGTTGGGAGTCTCCAAGAGTAGACCACCCTCACGTTTGGAGATTGGTTGGAAAGGACTCCTAGGACTTAGCATATAGTTGTACTTACAGCTAAGATTTATTATAGCAGGATAGTAGTAAGGATATACAGCTGCATCAAAAGGGGAAAAGACACAGGTGGGGTTGGGTGGAATCCACGTATAGTCTTCCTCATGTTCTCTCCCTCCCATGAAGGGTCACACAGAGCACACTTTTCCTCCCAGCAATGAAAATGCAGCAACATGTTCATGATGCTTCTACCCAGGAAAGTCTATTAGAGAATCAGTATCCAAGGTTTTTATTGGAGGCTGGTCCCAAAGGCACTGTCTGCCTAACATGTACCAAAATTCCAGATGCCCAGAAATAAAGCAGGTGTTCAGCATAAACCATATTTGTTTGCACAAACAGCCTGGCACAATGATTCACCCTTTTTAGTTAGCTCTTGACTGGGAATACTCCAAGAGCCACGTTCTCAGATGCCAGCCAAGGGCCAACCTTGCAAGCAAGTCTTTTTAGGGGTAGCAGTCTCAGACCTTCTGTGTTAACTCTTTTTTGCACAGGGGATTATGTGTTATGACGTTGGGGTTAAAAGAATTCAGTGTTAATTAGTATAGATTTCACACCATAGCAAAATGAATCACTGACCAATCCAAGAGAGCAAATTATTTTATTGTTTTAAACTATGGATACACACATGGTAATCTATTTCTGTAAAATCTATTTCTTGTTTTTTTAATTTTGCTCTCTATCAATTGGCCTATTCAATTTCTGCCCCCACACCCATGAAGCATTTATAGTCTGACATTAATTACATTAAAAAATTGGAGCAAAGTGGAAACTCCAGAAACCCAGGATTAACATTTGTCCACTCAATTGTTTCTTTCTTATGTTAAAACTAATATGCCTTCTCAGAAAGGTGACCTTTAAAATTGCTTGATATACTACCATAAGCACCAGCATACAAATGCTTCATGAATTTTCTCCTTCTAAATGTATCCCAAGTCTCTAGGTCTTGGTATTGAAGTACCGCCTTGGCTCTACTTCAAGATTGGAGAATGAATGCGGGGAAATTGGAGATGAAGGTAATAATGCATTTACCTCTAAATATAATTTAAGTGGTAGTTTTGCCCACTGAAGAATAAAGGTTCACTAAATCCTTTTTAAAAGATGATTACCTCTCAATATAAACCACTACCTGTAGATATAAACATATTCATCTGAGTGAAATCAAGAGCACAACTTATAGTATCTTCGTATCTTGGATCGTGTCTTAAACATAGTTAAAACTCACTGGAAAATGGTTTACTTGAAATAAATGCATAATTTTTTAAAAATTTATACTTCCTATTCTAATTCAGGATCTGGAAGCCTCAAGCCTGGGCTAATCCAAAAGCCAACTTTATAATCGTCCTACTTCTAAGATCTACCCATCCAATATTTTGCAAGTGAATATAATCATTGCCAAGTGGATCTTCCCAAACAGTCTGCTAATGTTATTCATTGTCCCAAAATCTTTCTGATAGCTTTCTTTCACCTTGAGAATCAGTCTCTAAATTCTAACTACTACCACTGCCCCCAATTTGGTTAAATTTAACTTTCTAATTTAAGAACGAATCAATTGTATCATCTATGATAGCAATGTTGAAATTATAAATAGTTTGTTCTCTCTTGCCTCCAAGGGTAAAATCTTACCCTTTCTAGATATAAAAAACTGTTGAGGTCTTCCATATTGTGTGCTAGCGGTTCCCCATTATATTTTTTATTGTCTTGATGAGGGAGGTGTTCTTAGGGCCCTCTTAGGAAATTTAGTCATTTTGGTTTATTTGCTCTCAGGTAATTCATTTTAAGAGGTTGTGGCAGTGTCTTCACCTCATTTCCTGGATGAGCCACCATCCCAACAACACATTAGAATAGACTCCAGGTGTGTCTGCTGTGACATTAAATTCTGAGTCATAGAAGAATGTTCCCATGTAATACTCTCCCCTCTTCACCCTCATGACCCACTCCTACACTTGTCCCTGGATCAGCCAAGCCCTGCAGTTATTTTGGTAATCAAGCTATTCTTCCTCCAAACAGGAATTATATTTTCCTGTTCAGGTTATGTTGAAACCTGTCCTTCATTAGTGGTCTGAAGGCCATGAGTAGAAGCAGGGTAAAGAGGTAAAGAGATGAGGTCTACTTCTGCTAGGCGTCTGTGTCAGAGCAAGATGGAAATTTAAGATTCTCAGACTTGTCACTCAAGTGTCATCAGTTCAGATTACAGGTACTACATCCTCCTATAACAGCCCTGACTGTATAACCTAAGATACCAATTCCTATTAAGTTATATGTTCAGTCTCCTTTGCAGCTCTGCCACCTCTACAATTAAATCCTGGGTATGAATTTCAGCCCAGTCTGCTCTTTTGCTGTGGGAGATAAGGATCTTTTCAAACACTGCTATGGATGTCTTCTGATTTTCATAGCTTGTCATTTTCTTTATTTAAGATTTCCAAAGCGACTATGTTTACATTCCTGAAGGTCTTTACATTCCTGCGTTACTGTATAAACTAGTACTTCACCTTCCACTGCTCCATCATCCCAGTGCGTCACACGTGAGTATTCTAGGAATTTTGTTGCTACAACATACCAGGAGTTATTATTCTCAATTACCAACATCACTGGGGTCTTTGTTATCATTTGAACAAGGAATGATATCTTTTTTTTCCAGAATCCCACAATTCAAAAGAATCTAACTTGCACGGTTCTGAAAGAATACAGGAGTTATTTTAAATAATCTTGAATTAATGAATATCGTCTACAAATATCAGTTCTCTCTCTCTCTTTTTCATAGTAGATGCTCCATAAAATTTTTATATTAAATCAGCGTGGTCTTAGGTTTTCTTTGCTTCCCACTTTGAATGTTCTGGGGAAAAGCAAACTAAATGAGCTTAAATGAAACGTAATTTGCAAAATAAATATGAATAAAATATGCATGAGTCTTCATTTTGGAAAATATAAATACAGTCTCTCCCCTTATCAGTTTTAAAGTAAGTCTGTTTTCCATAGATGTCTGTATCACAGAGAGATGAGATTTTCTGAAACACATCCGAGGCAGATAAATTTATGGAGAAACATTTATCCTCTTTCTTGGTTATCCTGCCCAGGTCCATAAAATTGGAACTGTACCATGTGGGAAGTATGAAAATCTTGTTTCTGCCCTCTCGATGACTCATTTCTGCTCAACAGAGGAGGAATGACTTGAGTGGTGGGTAATACAGGGAGAAGAGTTCTGAGCATTGGCAGCACATTCTCTCCACCTGTCTCTTCTGGATCTTCCTGCTTGTTAACTGGAAATGGAGTCTTTTGCATGGAGTTAGCAGTCACTTTTGAGGTGATAGAAATGGTGCCAGGGGTGAAAGCTGAGCTGGTTGGGAAGTTGAAATACAGTTCTTCACCTTCTGAGCCTGTGGCTGAATGGGTGAATACGATCATTTCTGTAAAACTAATGAATCAACTCTCAACCTTCATTGGTTCCAATATTTAGACTAGAGTATGTCAAAGCAAATTGAGATTCTCAGTCTGAGTCACTGTGTTTTTACTTATAAACTATATTTATAGAAGAAGAAACTGCCTTTAGCTATGTTACCGTTTTAAAAAGACTAAGTACAGTCTTTTTAACATATATTTGAATTAATTAGAGCTTGATAATAAGGTTATGAAAATTTAATTACTACCAAAGTTATGGTCAGTAAAGTCAACTTCTTATGAAAAGCATAGATTAATATAAATGGATGGTTTGCTTCATACTAACTTTGAGACTTTTTACAACAAATTTTGATCTTAAGCTTAAAGTCAGTGATCCTTGTCTATTTAAGGAAACTAAGACCTTTGTGTTTCGTAGTTAAAAGTCAGAGAGAAATGCAACTTATGTTTACAAGATACAAAATAAATATAAATTTATCTGAAATTCTATGAAAACAGGTATGGAAATATACACCTGATCTTTTTCTCTACTGATCTAACAAGATATAATAATAGCCCAGGATTGCTTCCCTAAGAAGTGTGTCAACATTCTCACATTTTTTGAGGGCTTCATTAACAATTTCTTAGCCAACAATTGAGTCTCTGATCTCAATTATTTTTCTATCCAGAGCGGAATTTTAAATACTAAGTTCACCATTTCTGTTTTCACAGGGGGCAGCCTGATTCTACCTGCAGTTTTAAACTGCATTTTCTATCTAGGTTTTCTAGCAATAAAGATTATTTCTTTTGTAACAAAGATTATTTCTTAAAAGATCCAAAATCTCTTAGGAAATAGGGGAATAATAGGCAACTCAGAGAAATCTATGTTACTATATCTCATAATAATGACCTTAGAAAAATTCTCCTACCAAAAGTAATTCTATAGGACTTTGAGAGCATTTCCGTGTTTCATGACATTTTTAAAGATGTGAGTCTATCTCTGCCATTTTCTTTTCTTTGTTCTTCTCCATGATCTATTTTGCATAGAGGACAAGATCCTGATTTATGGTATTGTGTTCTAGTGATTTTTGTTTATGATTCCCTCTGCCCCCACTCTCGGTATGAGAAAAGCTAGTAGAAAAGCCTAAAATGTTATTGGTAGGTGCCACTTTAGATATCATAGCTTAGATAACAAATTCTTTGCAGTTATATGTTTAAGCTTGTAAAATACAAATTAGACTTCTCTTTGCCATTTTTGTACCTCTGAAATTGTAAACAGAAGTTTTTTTTTTTTTTTTTTTTTTTCTTAGAAACAGGCTGGGATCTCAAAAGCATCAATGCATTTATTGGTGAGTTCAAGGAGATTAAAAACTGTTTAGGCTGGCCATCTCCAGACACTTTTTTTAAAAAAATTAAGGCATAATATGGATATATAGGAAAACACAGATCTTGAGTGTACAGTTTGATAAGTTTTGACAGATGTATGCACCCTCGTTACTACCACCTAAGTCAAAATAGAGTACGTTTTTATTAAACCAGAAAGTACTGTTAAGCCATTTCCCAGTCAGCCCTAACCCCTACACTTTCATAGTAATTGCTTTTCTAATATATATCATGACTGATATTTTGTTTGTTTATTTTGCCTGTTCTTGAACTTCATTTAGTTAGAATCTTGGAGCGTGTACTCTTTTTTGTCTGACTTCTTTTGCTTAACAAACTGGCCTTGTAGATTCATGCATGTTGTTGCAAGTATCATAGTTCATTCATTTTTTTTTTGCTGAATTGTAATTGGTGAGTGTATTACAATTTGTTTATCCATTCTTCCATTGATAAGCATTTGGATTGTTTGCAGCTTTTGGTTATTTTCAAATAAAGTTTTTGAACATTCTTTAAAAATCTTTCTTGTAGACATATTTTATTGCTCTTGGGTAAATACCTAGGAGTAAAAATGGCTGAGTGATAGGCATGTTTATTTGTATAAGAAATTGCCAGATTTTTTAAACCAAAGTTTTCATACTATTTTACAATTTCACTAACAAAATATGAAAATTCTAGTTGCTCCCTCCGTATCTTTGCCAAAGTTTGGTATTGCTAGTCATTTTAATTTTAGCCATTCTGGTAAATATTTACTAGCATTTCACTGTGATTTTAATTTGCATTTTGCTGATGATTAGTGATGTTCACTATCTTTTCTATGAGCTGATTGGCCATTTGTATATATGCTTTTATTAAGTGTCTGTTTAAATATTTTTCTCATTTTTAAAAGTAGAGTTATTTGTATTCTTATTATTGAGTTATAATAGTCTTACATATTTTGGATACAGGGGCTTTGTCAGATATGTACATTGTGAATATTTTCTCTCAGCCTGTGACTTGCGTTTTTATTTTTTTAATGATGTCTTTGATGAGCATAAGTTGAAAAGAAAATAGAAGTTTAAATGCAATTTAAAATCTGGCACACTTTTCTATTGCTGAAAAATTTGAATAGGGTTTTTTATTTTTTCAAAATAGACCAATTTAAAGTGCTCTGAAAATATGTTCAATGATGTAATCTCTTTCTTAATGATCTTTCCAAGTGTCATAAGAGACTCTAGTGGCTACCATAGTTAAACTGAGAAAGTTGAAATAAAGATACATTTAGTTTTGATTTAGTGGGATGCATCTATGAAGTTTATAGTGACTGTTTAATTATATTGTTGCTAATTATTCTGGTATAGGAATGGCTTCTAAGGATATTCCTGCCATCCACTGTAACAACTTCTCTGGTGTGGTAGCATGACCGTACAGGGGCAGAGGTTGTACAGTAGGAATATGATATGTTCTTTGATGCCAGGCACTAGAAGCACATACATAGTGGAAAATAAACCAGATTTGAAATGTACAGACCATAAGCTAGTCTGTAGAATATTCTTCTAATCTTTCGACATGTGAAAGTATAAGTGATAGAATCAGTTTTCATCAATCAAAAGTTCACATTTATAAGAAATATGCTTGATAATGTCGACAATATGCAATTAAAAACATAGCTTATTACTTTTTATTGAAGTCACATGAAATATAATCAAGATTTTGTGTTTGTAACGCACGAAGCTACATAAATACTGCAAAAGCTAAGTATGTTTGCTTGTGCGTATCCACAACATTGATGCATCCCAACATATGAGACTTTGAGCATATCTGACATAGTTTATCCTGAAGAGAATTCTGTTAGTTCAGGCAAAAACGCAAACAACATTGCTACCAACAAAGGGGAAAAGCCTGAAAAAACAAGTGTGCCAATTACAAAACTTCCACATGTATTCACCAGTAAGTTAATGTATGTAACATGATAATTATTTGATTATGCAATTACGTGGCTCAGTAGTATGTAGTGACTATTTTACACACACTTGCTTTTGTGTGCACCTTATTTTCATATTTTTAGGAATTTTAAAGAGTAATTAAATGAATAAATAAAGCTCTTGAACTGTTTGATAACCCAGTTAATGAAGAGGAGTGAATCATGTAAATGTAAAAGAAAAAGCCTTGGGTTTATTGCAAATTTAAAATAAATGACTAAAGTAAGTGAATATATTAAATTCATGATGCTTTATGACAACGAGTGTGTCATTGACAAACTGGTTAATGAGTATGATCATTGAAAGATTATTTAATATTAATCATTACTAAGAACAATTAAAGTGCTTTGAAATTTTATAGGTCACATACGAAAGAAACGTGATTAAGAGGCCTAAAGTGAGCACGGCATAACCAATGATAAGTTTTAAAGCTGAAAACACCTTTTCCAACCTCTTGATAACAATGGAAGCTTTAAACATTCTTGCTGATTTTATTCTGATTTGTCTCAGTAATCACATTTGTATCACATTTGATGGTTGAAATTTTGTATTCTTTCTCTTAAGGAGGGATCCTCCAATTGTTTTCCTTTAGACTCTTCAATGTTTAACATAGGAAATGCCAATACATTATTGTGCTACAGAAATCCTGGGGACATCTGCACATAGTGTGAGGTGGAGTGCAGTCATGTGGGCTGAATGCTGGGAAACTTCTTATACAACTGATCATGAACACACTCAGTCCTGGAGCAAGCACAAAGCTCCTGCCAAACACTTCATCCCATAGGTTTGCTCCTTGAGTCACCTCCATTTTCAAAATTTCTATTGTAATTTTAGGCTTTACCTATAAACTCTTTCAATGCTCTCACTGCTCTTTCACTTATCAGATATGATAGTTAACACCATAAGATTCATTTAAAAATATTTAAAAGCCTAAAACTAAGCCTAAGCTCAGCAAACACCCAATAGGTTAACAATAAATTGGCTGAGACTAAAATAATTGCATGACATCCAATGCTTCACATTGGTTGCAGTAAAGAGGACACTCTTTGAAACAAAACTCCTACCACTTTTAGATAAATATTAAAAAATTAAAATTATCATGTTTAAGATAAGGATCTTGTTTATTCAGTGTATGTAAAAACAAAGCATCTGTACATAAAATGAACTCAAGAGGACATAAATAACTACATTAGCGTCTGTTTCAGATTTTTCTTACTCTGTCTACCTCACTGTTGACTGTATTACATTTTTTTCCTGTAATAAATACATGTCAGAAGATATCTGGATGGGGTGTAAAGGAAAATTCCTTCAAAAAATGGGAATCAGTGTAGTCAGATGGAATTGATGAGCCATTCGCCCACACAATACAATATAACCAGACAAGTACACATGACCCTGCCTCTTTTCTCATTTCACCACCCCAAAATAAAGATTCTCAGATTCTACCAACAGAATATGTTAACTCTTTTCTTAGTGTTAACAGACTCTTTTAAAAATACGGTGGAGTGTTATTTAGTTGACTTCTGTTTGTTTAGAACTTTTTGTAAATAGACTCAGTGAGCCCCTTCTCCTAACTCCTGAGATTAAATTCCTTCTTCAGGCAGTAGGCAGTTGTGGGGAGGGTGAGGAGGAAGGAGGAGGGAGATGTCATTTTCAAGTCTGGGTCATGAATGGACTCAAATTTCAGAGTAACAAGTGTTAAGGGATACAGGACAGGAAGTACTTGAAAGTGAAGTAAGAGAATTAAGAGAAAATCACAGCCAAACCTCATTTATGTTGCCTTTAATTTTGCCAAAAGACTCTTCTTGGAATGTGGTTCCTTAAATTGGTTTTCTTGTTCCATCTTATCCAGGTCTTCTCTGAAAAATCATCTGCTCAGAAAGTCCTTCCCTATCCCCTCCTAATTAAAGTAGCTCTCCTAGATGAACCCTCTGTTCTTTCTTTTACTATATTTTACTGATAAATCTCCCTCTCTAAAAATCATTTTTATATGTTTCCTGTCTGTCCCCATACTGAAATACAGACTGCATTATGACCAGACATTTTCCTATCACTGTTAAAATACTAACTCCCAGAATAGTGCCCAAAACTTTGTAGATTGGTTGAAAATGTTTTATGTTCTCATAAATTCTTAAAGTCTAACAACTTGTTGTTTCACAGAGATGTGCTAAAAGGAAGACTCAAGATATGGGTTAAACACTGCATCTCAAAAACATTATTTATAGTAGACATAGGCCAAAGAGTGCTAAATACATGTCAAATCTACATTTACATGTATAACATTCTATATATCTTTAACATAAATGCATGTTTAATCACTGCCTTAATTTTAAGCCACTATTCACATTTCACGGACTGGTTAAGTCTTCCCTAAGAACATACCCTAGTCATTATTATGTTCATAAATTTAGTGGCATGCCTAGGTTTTCCCTTCACTCACTTAAGAACTCCTTAGTGGGATAAAAGAAGACACAGGAAATATTGCAACACATCTCCTATTTCTTTTGGCTTTCTATACTCATACTGCTACTAATTTGTAAGGATGGCAGAGTCAGACCACAAAAGGATAAAAGACACTTAAAGGAGAAAGATGATCAAAAACAAAGGAAACAGGACTGAGAATTTGGTCTTATCCTTCTGGGACAAAGAACTGTATGTAGCAAACCCCCTATGTGAGACTCACTTGTCCTGAGCATATGGGCTCTATTAATTGATTAAAAGTGAATTGATATTTTGCTATAAATCTGATATAAATGCTTTCTTTTCCTACGTAGCCCTAGTTGGATCTTGTAAAATGATTAATGCTAGTAGAGGAAATTGAACAAAGGAAAGTAGAGGAAAATGAACAAAGTGGGGAAGAGAGAGAAGTAAAGGAAATAATTGCTGGGAACACACGATGTTTACCTATTAGAATGATTTTTTTTCTTTCTACATAGAGAAAAGAAAGTGAAGGAAATCGTAGAAGAAAAGGTCACAGGGAGCTACCTGAAATGAGGAAAATGAACTGGAATAGATTCTCAGGGGATTGTAGTAGTCCCAGCCCTGATATTAGCCAGCTGTGGGACTTTTAGTAATGTCTTTAGCATCTGCACTTTAATTTATCCTTTGTAATATTTCTTTGTAACTCTAATTAGTGTACAGATTTAAAACCTACAAGTTATATGTGATTGCTGTTGTGGTGTTTTGTTTTGTTTGTTTTGTTTATGAGATGGAGTCTTGCTCTGTTGCCCAGGCTGGAGTGCAGTGGCACAGTCTCAGCTCACTGCAACCTCCACCTCCTGGGTTCAAGCGATTCACCTCCCTCAGCCTCCTGAGTAGCTGGGACTACAGGTGCGTGCCACCATGCCCGGCTAATTTTTTGTATGTTTAGTAGAAATGGGGTTTCACTGTGTTAGCCAGGATGGTCTCAATCTCCTGACCTTATGATCCACCCACCTCGGCCTCCCAAAGTGCTGGGATTACAGGCATGAGCCACTGCACCTGGCCATGATTGTTGTCCTTTAAAATCACATGTCCCACATCCAACCCCCCCAACCCAGGGTTTCCCACTGACTTTAATTCCAACATCTATCTTGAATATGCCTGCTTTCTCCATCTACGTTGTTATCACTGTAGTCCAAACCATGGACTTTCCTAGGTTCAAAAGTACTGTTACATATGGATTTTTCGCTTCAAATCTTGCTCTCTCTATAGTTAATTGTCCACACAACAGCTAGTGAAAATGTTCTTCTTAAAGAATAAATGAGACTCTTCAATGGATTTAAAGCACCATTTTAATAAAATCCACATTTCTACCATGTGCCCAAGGCTTTACATGTCTTGGCTTCTACTTGCCTCTGCATCTGTCTCAAACCACCTCCCTTGCTGACATGGTCCATTGAATGGCCATTTTCCTAACCTCCAAACACACTAAGCTTGTTCCCTTCTCAAGTCCTTTGTCATTTCTGCCACTTAGAATGCTCTTTCCCTGCCCTTCACCTTTTTATCATGGCAGTCTCACCACCAACATCACTTCCTCAGACAGGTGTTCCCTGGCCACATAATCTTATGTTGTCTCCATACTTCCAATTATACTTTAGCCTCCAGGGCATTGGCCAGTACCTGAAAATTTAAATCATCTATTTGTATACAGGTTTATTTTCTTCTCCTCCTCTACAAAACTAGAAACTCATTGACAGCAGAAAGTTTGTTGCTCACTATTGTTATCCGCAGTGTCCAGAATAATACTGGGCACTTGGTGGGTCCTTAATGAATAATGTTCTTGAATGAATGAATAATGAATGAGTCAGGTAAAAAGACTGGTAACGAACCCTTGCTTAGCTAAAGGTGAAACTAGATTTTCTGCATCACTAATAACACTCAGATTTTTCTGTTATCTAGCAAAGTATAGCATTAATCATATGAGTCAAGATACTTCCATTAGATGATTAATCCAACACTCATTATTGGATATGTATTTTTTGAATTGCTTCCCAAATTTAAAATTTAGATTTTCTTTGTCTCTGTTTCATTGTAGGGGTGAAACAGTAAGTTCTAATTATAATAAGTATCTGCTACTAGCCACCTCGCTTTATTTGGAGTGATCACCCTTTTTTTTTTTTAACCTCTTTCTCTCTTCTGCAGAATTTAGTGCAATTCTCTCCCTTTTCACTCTTCAGTGACTAACAGCCTCTCCCTGCTCCCATTCACTTTAAGGTGATTACTATTAAAGGAAGAAGATAGAATTTGTTAGCAAGGCTAGGGCACCTCAACACGTTATCTACTTTTACTTAAAGACTCAGCCCTTTTCTTTATACAATGAAAAGAGGAAGAATTAGACAAAGATTACAGAGCAAGGGCAAAGTGACCTAGAATAAAGATATGGACAGATTTAACAACTTTTCAGACAGGAGGACACAATAAGTTTTAAGATCCAGGACAAGAGACATCTCTTTAGATTTAATCTTTATAACTAACTCCAACTTGAGTCTGCACAATATGTACTGGTCTTCCCACAGCTAGGGTGATACTGCACTTGGTGATAGTACTTGAGTCTATATTTATAATGATTGAAAACATCATTTCTGAATTGAGCACCAGCTGACTTAAAATTTAAAAAGTTACTCTTCGTTGTGCACAAATGTTTTCATTAGTCTATTCCCAGAAAAGGGGAGTGATTTTAACATGAAAAGGGCAGTCTAACAGGGCCTTAATATCTTACTCAAAGAATTGCCAAAATCTAGCCTGCCATGACAGAGAATTCGCTTTAAAGTTAAACCATCAACTACCATCTCCTCCTCACTTCCTTAAGCAGTTTGAAAATGAATGACAATTTACGCTTATGATCAAATTGTTGCAGAAACAATCCTTTGCTACAGATATTTGAATTCTGTTAGAACAAAGTCCATCAAAGACAAAAACTCCCATGCTGTAAACAACCTCTATTTCATAAGAACTAAATCTAGAGTGTTTTCCTAATCCTATTAAGGTTTATTGAGTAAATAATGCCCACTTTACTGTGGTCCTAACTATATGTTCACCTGACAAATACGTGGACACAACACGGGGCTGAATAACAGCATGTTGTGAAGAGCCTTTGAAGATACCATCCTTCCAAGGAAAAACACATTTAGACAAAACCCCTTAATATTATAAGTGCTTATCATAAATAGTTAAAGGTATCAGCATATTTTAAAACAAAAATTTTTTAAATAAAGTTTTAAAAATCATTTCAGTACTTGTAGGACAGATAGGGATGGGTGGCTTTCATGTAATGCATGTTTATTATTTCCTATATAATTTTTTCTTATTAAAACATTGACACAGCCAAGCATAGTGGCCTGTGCCTGTAGTCCCAGCTACTTGGGGTCTGAGGTGGGAGGATTGCTTGAGCCCAGGGGTTCGAGGCTGCAGTGAGCCATGTTTGCGCTACTGTACTCCCGCCTGGGTGACAGAATGAGACCCGATCTCTTTAATAAAAATAAATTTAAATAACTAAATACAAACATAAATACAATTTCCTTTCCTTTTCTTTTCTTTTCTTTTTTTTTTTTTTTTTTTTTGAGACAGGGTCTTGCTCTGTTGTTCAGGCTGGAGTGCCGTGACACTGCAACCTCTGACTCCTGGGTTTAAGCGATTCTCCCGCCTTAGCCTCCGAGTAGCTGGGATTACAGGCACCTGACACCGCGCCTGGCTAATTTTTGTATTTTTAGTAAAGACAGGGTTTTACCCCATTGGCCAGGCTGGTCTCGAACTCTTGACCCCAAGTGATCCTCCCACGTCGGACTCCCAAAGTGCTGGGAGGTGTGAGCCACCACGCCCGGCCAGTTTTCTAAAATTGTTCCCTATATAGCTAGAGCTAGAATAGACAAAAAAATATTTTCCACTTCAGTTAGAATTAAGAAGGATTCAGTAGACTAAAGGATACGGAAGCTGCTAAAATGTTAATTTGATTGTATGGCCTCTTTAAAATCTTGTATCAGAAACTTATGCTTGGTATTGTGGAGCTTGCTGATGTAATTGGTGTCATATTTGTGACTATCACTAATTTTCTAATGCTATTTGTGTAGAAACTTTAGCTCTCAGCATCTGCTATAAGCTGCACAGCACTTAGAATGATACAATTTCATCTGGTTCTTCAAATCCCAGTTTATACCTATGTGGCTTTGCTGTGCAGCACAATCTGCATATATAATCATATGAATTCATAGACACAGTTGATTAAGGTTGGGATCGGATGGAGAGCTTATGCACAAACACAAAAACAATTAGGGTCACCTCCCTCTGCCCAAGGGTTGTGTGTATGGGCATGAGATGTGCAAATTTATTCGCAGCAAACTGTCTCCACAGACATTTTGCAAGTCAAATTTCTTGAAACTAAACCATGATTGTGTTGCTAGCAATCTTTGGCAACTAGTCAACTGTGACGATTTCATTAATTAACAATTCCATATATGCAATATTTCTATCTAATTCTAAAACTGATAACAAGAAGCACGCCTGATTGCAAATATTGACTTAAGAATTCTAATGATGGTCATAATTTATTAATGCTCTTGTCTGTATCTGTTAGAAGGAACTTTCTGTATGCCTCAATGGGATTTTTTTTTTATTTGTTGAATAGGAGTGAAGAGAAAATAGGCATATAAATTATTTCTGTCCTGTATATCATCCTTATGATGCCTTGGAGTGGGGAGGGGTTATGGTTTTGTTAGCCATAAATGAATTTGGACCTCCCATATAACTTAACTGGTGACTAAACCAAACACTTCTGATTTAGTTGGGTTAAAGCCAAGGCTTATAGCTCACATGTACAACAGTCTTGACAAATTTATGTGAACGCTTATTTTATAGTGCAATCACTGGTGTAGGGATACCAGCTTTATTTATATATCTCCCAACTGAGTGTATAGTGAGCAAGTGCTGTAGCCCAGGGCTATGCCAAGACTAATTACATCCCCAAATTCACTCAGCTTTCTCTTCTTCCCTTTTTACACTCTTGTAGAAAATACATAAATAAATATGCACACACCATAGGGATTACTTGTAAGTACCTTCATTAAGCAATAAGATTGTCAAATTACATTTTGCCGTATTTGAACATGGCAAAAAAGAATACACACTCTCTATATATGTTTTCACAAAAGAGGATACAAACTTTCATAGCAATTTCTAAAATTTCTAAGCAGAAAAGCACATAAGGAAACAGAAACATTATAATTATTGGGAAGATAACAAAATTTCACAAGGATACCTCGACATTTTAGTTTAGGAAGAACAGTTGTTTTCTCACTGGTAACAATGATGTGGGTTCCTGAGTTCCATTTACAAAGAAGACTCTTGGATTATTTTATGAATGACCTCAAAATGCTGAGTAAATGTGAATGATGGATCACAATAGAAATAACTTCATTGTTGAAATGTTTCACTGGTTACTGAGGTACCTGGAACTTCCATTTCTAAAATGAGTACTAGGTACTTAATTATCTTTCAAGACTATGTCTCAAAAGTACTTAACTTTTTCACTTTTAAAATGTAAAACTTGATGGCAATGGTTTTCAAAAAACATGAAGAAATGACTATATGCTTTTGTGGCTGATATTGCAATACATGGCTCAGATCTTCTTCAGGAGTGAAGGACTTGCAGCCCCATCCCTTGACTGTCACCTCCTTGCAGAGACTGCCTCTACTGAATGGAGCTGCTTCAATCAAGATTATGCCCCATTCCTGGAATGGCCCACACCCAGTGACTAAGTGATACGGGAGCATAAAAGCCTGCTTCCCCCAGCCCACTTGGAACAACTCTGAGGCATAAACCTTAGAATTCCTTAGTCTGCTGAGACTTCCTTTAAAACTGCATGGCAGCTCAACTTCTCCCTCTGCTCAATCCAAAACACCTGAATGACTTGTAAAGACTGAAAAATTATAGTAAAAATAATAATTACAGTTATTTATTGAAGACAGGATTACAGTTAATTAAGTTTGTTCATTAAATTTTTATTAATATCTTATTTTTTTCTATAATAAGTATGTATTATTTTATAATTAGGAGGAGGAAAAAAAAAGTCCTGATGATAAGTGAGTTGTTTCATGGAATGTTTGAAATGAGATTAGTGGGCCAATCATGAGCCTTAGGAAACATCAGTATTCAAGGGACATATTTAGAAAGAATGAAAAGAATGGCTTAGGAAAGAATGGCATTAAAAACTCTAGGAAAATAATTAAAATAATATGTTTTTATGGAATCCCAGAGTGCTGAGAAGGTTTTGAGGAAGCCATTTCCATAGACAAGAACAGTTCCAGTGAAATCATTAGGGGCAGAAGATAAATTGCTGTTGGCTAAGGCATAATTAAGAGGTAAGGAAGAAGCACAAATAATAAGTACAAACCATGTTCCCAAATCACATGGCTATGAAGTTAATGAGAAAAATGAAAGGTGGAGCTAAAGTGAAGAAAATAATTTAAACCAGCATTTAAAAGAATTATTATTAGGTTGATTTGAACTTTTTCATAGTCAAGTAGAGTCAGAAATATTTAAAATATTGACAATACAGTGAGGGGAGAATGATAGTAGCTGATAAAGGCATGGAGAAATTAAGATGGGATCAGATCTACTTTAACAACAGAGAGATTGATCTTGAGTTGCAAGAGGGATACCAGGTTTTTTGAGACTAAACGATAGTCTGAATAAAAATAAATATAATGTTTGTAGTAAATTAAGGAAATCCATTCCTAGTTGTCTCAACCACTGTCAATTTTATGAAGAAAATTACCTGGTAAGAGTGAGAGAACTGGGTCTTAAGCAGGAACTTGAGAAGAGTAGTGAAGTTTTAAATAGTTGCTGAATGGAACGGCAGAGGAAATGGATAATTCAAATAATCATTGAGTGATGTCAGGATCCTGGCTGGTGTGATGGCCATGAATTATTCAGGACAGCAATCTGAAGAGCTGTGGAGCTGTGAAATTTTTTAATTTATCCATTTGTTTATTTACTTACATATTTCCTTTGCTGAACAATGCTCAAGAGACTATGTAGGACTATACTGAATGTAGATTGTGGCAGGAGAGGCAAGGGATATATGTTTAAAGGACGGGGTGCAAGAAAGGAAGTGCTGAGACAAGAATACAAGTGGAGAGTGTGGTAACAATAATGATCCTTGTGTAGTCTGATGGACCTGAGAACATCAAGAGGTCAATCAGCTATGGACACTAAACAGCCCAAGGAAATTTTCATGAGAGTGAGTCCCCAAGAGAGAAGGAAGAATTTAAAGGCTCATCAAATGAGACTGGAATGTCTGAGGTGTCCCAGTCCTCAGTAATGATAAGTTCTAGGATGTTGACATAGACACAGAAGAGAGACCAAGGTGAAAAAGTCAAGAAATGATGAGACCAAGATGTTTAACAACAATTATTCAGGATTAACAGATATGGGGTACTGTCGGGAATATTTTAGGAGAGGTAGAAAAGGTAGAATATCTATCCTGACCCCCTAGGATATGATTTGCTAAAGAAACAGCCCCTGTTTCACTCTGAAAAACATCCATCTGTGCTGACAATGAAGAGATGGGTCATAGGCTGAAGTGATGAAGTGAGTAGGGGGGTGGTCATTTTAGGAGATATGTGAAGTTCTAAACTATTTTGCCAAATTAGAAATGCAGTGGCACAAGCAAAAATGTTGGTTCTTCCACATGATGCTAGATGAATTCTAGGAAGAAACCAGTGCATCATATGATAGGGTCCTGTGGAACACAATCACAAAAGCAGATACCAAAGCTGAGGGGAAGCATTCTTTGACTAATTGCAAACAGGAGACTTAGGAGTGTTTCTTTGCATCAAATATAAATGAGAGACATGTAACTAATGCAATTTATATGTAGATCTATCAAAATACATTTATTAAATCATAAATAAAGCAGAACTGTTAGTAATAGCCAAAAACTGGAAACTATCCAAATTTCTACCTTTAGCAGAAAGGATAAATAAATTGTGGTATAAACATATAATGAAATACTATACATAATATGAATGATGATTCTATATTACAAAAAGCACGAGTGAATCTCATATCCCTAATATTGAATGAAAGAAGCCAGATCAAAAAAGGATATTCTGTAATAACATTGGCATAAATTTCAAAAACAGGAAAAATGAATCAAAGGTGTTAGAAGTCAGTGTAAAGGTCCTTTGGGGGACGTTGTGACATGCAGAAGGCACAAAGAAGGTTTCTGCATTCCAGTCATGTTATATTTATTTTAACTTTTATTTTAAGTTCAGGGGTACAAGTGCAGGTTTGTTCCATAGGTAAACTTGTGTCAGGGGGGCTGTTATATTTCTTAATCTGGGTACTGAATACACAGGTTTGAAAATTAGTAGATGTTATCTATTTAGGTATTGCAGACTCTTCTGAATAAATACTACATTCTAAAAAATATCTTCTTTAAACTATGACAGATTAGCTTGTAGCAGAGAAACTGGTCTCTCAAGATAAACTATACAAGATAAATATAATTTTTAAAACTATGCATGAAGGCATGATATCCTCAGAGAACTAACTACAGATCCAAGGCTTGAAGGAAAAAGATCTCCAAGAGAAGCAGAACCAAGAGGCTAAGAAATCAAGGTGAAAGCAGTTGCTAAGAGACTGAGAAAACCAATAATTTGTCAACAGTTTCAGCTGGGAAGACAAAAATTGTAGCCCAGAGCTTCAGACAGCCAGGACTTGGGGGTTATTACTACAGAGAAAGCCAAATCCCATCGAGGTGAACCTGATATTTGGTACCTTTTAACCTTAGATGTCTTTTCTCAGGAACAAACAATACCAACAAATAATATCAGCTAAGAAACTGAAAAACTTAGCAGAGATAACAGCAGTTTTGGATCTCTCTCTCTGTCTCTCCACATGTATACATGTACCATCTTCCCTTAGTATTTGCAAGGGCAAATACTAAGGGAAGTATACCTTAGTGTTTGCCTTAGGGCCTGATACCAGGACCCCTGCAGATTCCAAAATCTTCAGATATGCAAGTCCCCGATACAAAGTGACACAGCATTTGCATATGATCTATGCACATCCTCTCGTATACTTTAAATCATCCCTAGATTACTTATAATACCTAATACATTGTAAATGCTATGAAAACAGTTGGCCGAGCACCGTGGCTCATGCCCGTAATCCCAGCACTTTGGGAGGCCAAGGCAGGCGGATCACGAGATCAGGAGTTCAAGACCAGCCTGGCCAACATGGTGAAACCCTGTCTCTACTAAAAATACAAAAATTAGCTGGGCATGCTGGCATGTGCCTGTAATCCCAGCTACTTGGGAGGCTGAGGCAGGAAAATTGCTTGAACCAGGACCTGGGAGGCAGAGATTGCAGTGAGCTGAGATCACGCTGCTGCACTCCAGCCTGGGCTACAGAGCGAGACTCTGTCTCAAAAAAAAAAAAAAGTTGTTATACTGCATTGTTTGTGTTATTTTTATTGTATTGTTATTCTGTATGTTTTAATAATTTTTTATTTGTGGTTGATTGAATCCACAGATGCAAAATTAGTGGATACCAAGGGATGACTGTGTATATATGTAAATGTATAATGTATTATCTATATTCTATCTATTATCTATTAAGTCTATCATCTCTCATCTATCTGTCTCTGTATCTATCTATCTATCTATCTATCTATCTATCTATCTATCTATCTGTACAGAGAGAGGGTTAAGGCCTATAGGAAAGGATTCTGGACAATACTTAAGCTGTACCATAGCTTTCATTAGGAAAGTAGGGCCTAAGGATCAGCCAAAATTAGGGCAGCCCTTATAAAGACTTACAGCCAGCTCTAAATCAGCCCAGTCCCAGACTGGAGCAAGTTGACCTATGCCTTCTCTATCAGTCTGCAATAATCAAAAGTAAATCCTCTTTGGTGGAACACAATATCATCCAGACTATTAAATTATTTCTATAATTTTTATATACAATATTCATCATTTAATTAATTTACTATATATAGCATAAGATAAAACTAAACAACTGAAAAACAGGTAAAAATGTCCTCAATATAAACAGATCCAGTGACAGTCCAGATACTGGAGTTCTCAGACATAGATTTATAATATCAGTAATTTATATCTTCAATAAAATATGTGAGAGAGTGGGAGATTTCAACAGAGAAAAGAGATCTATAAAAATAATAAAATGGAACTTTTAGAACTGAAAAATATAGTAATTGAAATGAAGAATTTACATGTTTAATATCAGTTTAGACATAGCTGAAGAGAATATCAGTGAACTAGATGAAAGACTGATAGAAATATCCAAGTTGAATCATGAAAACAGAAAAAAGAAAAAAGACAGAAAATACAGAAGAGCATAAAAGACAAGTGGGCTGTGGTGAAAAGCTGTGGTAGGAGTCGCAGGACAAGAGTAGGGAGAGAATGGGGGAATATGATATTTGAAGGGATGATGGCTAAAAATTTTTGAATAGATTGAAAGAGACTAAGGTACATAGTTAAGTAGTGCTGCAAACCTCAAGGGAGAAAAATAAGCAATGCCATTTCTAAGAAAATCAGAGTAAAACTAGTGAATCCAAAGACAATCAGAAAAGAAAAAAGAGACTTTTTCTCTCTATTTCTAGTTGAAGAAGACAGAGAAAAATAAGATATACTATTTTCAAAGAAGAATAGGCCTGACAGTTGATTGAGTTTGATAGAAATGACAAAATCAAACATGAGAAAATAACAATTTTAAATGCTTAAAGAAAATAATTTGCCTATTGTTCTTTATGTAGTGAAAATAAGGTTAAATGAAAAACATTTTTAGATATACAAAAAATGAGAGAACACACTATTAGATGTTAAGACATTGAAAAGCTATAGTTAAAACACTTGCATTCATAAGGATAAACAAATAGATCAGTGGAACACAATAGAGAGTACAGAAATAGATCACACTCATATAATTGGTTGATTTATGATGTTACCAATGGGACATCATACCAAGAGGAGAGTACCTAGCATTGGGAAAGGGTGGCCTCTTAAATAAATGGAGCTGGGTCAATAGGATACCAGTAGGGAAAACACACTTCTTGACTCTACCTCATACAACACAAAAAATCAATTCCAACTTGATTATAGGTATAAATTAGACAATAAAGCTTCTAGAAGGTAATAAAAGTGAATATGTTCAAGACAAGTTAGACAAAGACTACTTATATGTGAAACAACAAGCACTAAACTTTAAAAAAATGACAAATTAGGTAGATTAAAAGGAAAAACTTCTATCCATTCAAAAGCACCATTCCAAGCGTGAAAAAAGCTGCAAAATAAAACATATTTGTAACACAAATATCCAGAAAATGGATTATAAACAAAACATGTAAAAAACTTACAGGTCAGTGAGAAATTCAATAGAGAAAGAAAGTTTTGAATAGGCATTTCACAAAACAGAATATCTAAACCACACACACACACACACACACACACACACACACACACACAAATACACATGCATGTGTACATATCTCAGCATCATTCATGAACACAAATATGGAAAAGAAAAAAAAACCTGAATTATACACCATATGCCACCAAAATAGCTAAACTTTATCATCTCTCTCTCTCTCTCTCTATCTCTCATCTCTCTATCTATCTATTTTTAGCAGCAGAGTCTTGCTCTGTCACCCAAGCTGGAGTGCAGTGGCACAATCATAACAGCTAAAATATAAGAGACTGTCAAGACTCAATGCCAAGATTTTGTGAAGATGTGGAGCACCTATAACGCACATACACTCTAGTACTGGTGGGGTTATTAACCAGCACTATCGCTAAAACTGAACATATCCATACCCTTTGTTTTAGATTACACTCCCCTAAAATCAAACACAGACAATCCTATTGCAAGAGGTTTCTTCACATAAGGGAGACAGGGTAGGGAAGGAAACTAAAAAGAGTGTGTGAATTCTTAAGCAAATTACCAGGGTTGACAACTGAAGTTGACTAGAGAGCTTTGGGAGACAGTGTAGAAGATGCTCTGGGATTAGAGGCAGTCATTGTTTAAGGGCTGCTACCAGAGATGTTAATCCCCTGACTTCCAGCCCACCGTGTGCATGTGTGACTGTGTGTATATGTGTGTATGTGTCTGGGGAGCAGGGTGCTCAGCCAGCTCCAGTGGCCACAGAAAGCCCTCATGCAAAGGATAGAAATGGTAAGAACCATGTGGTTATGAGTGAAATACCAGGAGCCTCTGCTTTACCTTATAACCCAGATCATCAATTTCTAGGAATATATCTAGCAAAAATACAAACACATGAATACTAGAGGCATGAACAAGAACATTCATAGCAGCATTAATTTTAACAGCCCCAAACTGGGGAAAAAAACTAATGTTGATGATAGTAGTATACATAAATATATTGTATTATGTTATAAGAAAAATATAAGCAATGAGAATGAATAAACTACTGTCCTATGTAGCAATATGGACGAAATGTGCAGATATCACATTGAGAGGAAAATACCAGACAGAGAGTACATATTGTATGGCTCCATTTACATACAGTCAAAATCAAGTAAAACCCATTTGTGGTATGAGAGGTCAGGATATTCATAGTTGCCTTAAGGAAAGTGGTGCATGTAGTGACTGGCCTGGGACAACAGGTGCCATTCCACTGTGTGCGGAATGTTCTATCTCTTGATTAGGGGGTGTTATATATATGCGTGTGTTGTCTTTATGAAAATTCATTGAGTATATGAGTATGCTTATGATTTGTGGCCTTACTATAAAGCCACAAAGATATATATATATATGTTATTTTCCAATGAATAGTTTATTTTAACAAATATAAACATAAGCCATTTAAGAATTAATGGCAACACTGATTTTACATTCCTTGAGAAAGAGAAATTCTCACTCTTGTCAGCGAGTTAATCCTGCACCCTTTAATTACATTTTAGGCAATTCTATTGGAGGGTATTGGAGAACTCATCACCTCAGTCTGTGATTAGATGTGAATACTCTGGAGAAATGACTAGGACATGCCAAATGTTAAATCTTCATTATCATATGTTCTCTTTTGCAAGTTCCTAGCTTCAGCTCTATTTTTATATTGCCTTTAACAGTTCCATAGTCCTGAGCAACTATGGCTGGTTTTTGTGAAATACATCTCATTATGAGACCAAAAGAAAATGTCTTTGTTTTTCTGATCAGTTCAGTTCTTAGGAATCCTTTGTGCAAATCACACCCCCTACTACTCTTTTTAAACATATTAAACTTTTACCAAAATCCTGATCTCTAGGCAAGTCTAACTGCTCTTCTCTATGTTTTTACAGAAGCATAATATATGTTTTGTCCACTATCTTGTAAAGAGATATGCCCTTCATTATCCTTCTGAGAGCAACCCTAGACATGGTAGGCAGAGTCATCTGGGTTCACAGATAAATGGAGACAGAGCTTAAGTATTTTTAGAAATGTAGTCAAAGCCAATAGGAGCTGCTTTTGAAATGCAAATGAGAATTGCATTGCCAGAAGGCAGATGTTGTAAGAAAAAAAGCATGGGTATGTGGCATGATACCCTGCCAGAGGTTATATTTGTGATTTTTCTCTTTTCTGAGACAGAGGTAGTAGAAAACCTGTTTAGGATTAGCAACAGTGTCTTTCATCACACTCTCCAATTCCTTGAGTTTATAGAGGTTCATAATAGCTACACATAGAACTATCAGTCTTCCCACAGTCAAGTACAGATTTCCATATTCTTTTTTTTTTTTTTTTTTTTTTGAGACGGAGTCTCACTCTGTCGCCCAGGCTGGAGTGCAGTGGCGCAACCTCGGCTCACTGCAACCTCCACCTGCCAGGTTCAAACAATTCTCCTGCCTCAGCCTCCCCAGTAGCTGGGACTACAGGCATGTGCCACCATGCCTGGCTAATTTTTTTTGTATTATTAGCAGAGATGGGGTTTCACCATGCTGGCCAGGCTGGTGTCAAACTCCTGACGTCCTGATCTGCCCACCTTGGCCTCCCGAAGTGCTGGGATTACAGGCATGAGACACTGCGACCGGCCCTGATTTCCATATTCTTTTTTTAAATTTTTTTGAGACAGAGTCTCGCTCTGTCACCCAGGCTGGAGTACAGTGGTATGATCTTGGCTCACTGCAACCTCCGCTTCCTAGGTTTAAGCAATTCTCCTGCTTCAGCCTCCCAAGTAGCTGGGACTACAGGCATGTGCCACCACGGTCGGCTAATTTTTGTTATTTTTAGTACAGACAGGGTTTTGCCATGTAGGCCAGGCTGGTCTCGAACTCCTGACCTCAAGTGACTCACCTGTCTTGGCCTCCCAAAATGCTGGGATTACAGGCATGAGCCATTGCGCCTGGCCCAGATTTCCATATTCTTTCCCGAACAGAATACAATAGGAGCCAGAGAGGGATAAAAAAGGAGCAAGCAAAGTCAGATAAAGCCCCAGATGACAGAGGTATGCTGTGATCAACAGTTGGGGTGTGTGGTAATAGAGGAACAAAGAAGGGGTAGAGATCCCTATGAATTATTTGTCTTTAGCCAAGAAGAAAATTAAGGATTGATAAGAATACTCGTCAAGAAAACTTTTATAAAACTGCTTAGTATTTAATCCTGTATAAACCTAACTGAAGGACATAAACATCTGTTTAATTACTATAGTTTTATGGTTTGTAACCTAACATAAGCTAATAATTGACATTGCTGAACATAAAATTATGTGTTTGTTCTAAATGCTGGGAATGAATTGTGATAGAAGAGACAAAATTAATTCAATTGGAGATACGTGGAGAAAATGGGCAGGAAATAGGGAGAAGTCTGGCTTTGGGGGATATTTCTTTTTCCACCTATGTCTTCATTTATTTTGAGGCATTTAAACATGTATCAATATATCTTTTCCATTCTGACTCTACCCTGCTTTAAACTTCTGTTTTAAAGGTAAAGGAAAAAGTGAAAGGAAACCTTTGTAACAGAGATAAGATATGAACTTTTTTTTTTAATGAATAAGTTTAAAAGTAATTTGGGCAAGCGGCTTAATAAAAGGGAAGATACCTGGATAACACGGTGAAACCCCATCTCTACTAAAAATACAAAAAGAAAATTAGCCGGGCATGGTGGCGGGCGCCTGTAGTCCCAGCTACTCAGGAGGCTGAGGCAGGAGAATGGCGTGAACCTGGGAGGCAGAGCTTGCAGTGAGCCGAGATTGTGCCACTGCACTCCAGCCTGGGTGACACAGCGAGACTCCCTCTCAAAAAATAAATAAATAAATAAATAAAAAGGGAAGATACCTTTCCTTCACTGGACAGTGCTGGGTGCTACCAACTCTGCTGATGATGGTAAGAAACTGACCGGACATCCTTAAAATGGTTTTCTAAGTTCAGTAGTTCCCTCAGACTGACTAAACTTTAGACAGGTTTCTTCCTGACTAAAAGTACCTAACTTCCCTTTACTTAGACTGTTTGCTTTAGAAAACATGAAATTATAAATTCTTTCTCTGCCCCTTTGAGATGTAAATCTTCTATAAATTATGTCTTTCTTAAGGACCCAGGAGAAATCTACTTCAAATGCAATCACCAAGAAAAATACCCACCACATCCCAGGCTCTGTGAGAGAGTAGGAGAATAACTTTGATGAACACCAATTAGCAAACACAGGGGGCTGAATCACATAAACAATCTTCCCGCTAATATCCTTTAGTACTTTACCACTAGTTTTTATTTCTGTGGAGTTGAGGTCAATCTCTCTCCTCTACTGCAATAGTCTTGAATAAAGTCTTCCTTGCCTTTTAATTGGACTGCTATAATTTTTCTTTTACAAAACTTAACAAAATATTGCTTTCAGTGTAAGTGCATTTGAAGAAGCCAAAAATTCTACAAATTATGTAGTTGCAGTTTATCCTGGTATTGGAGAACCTCCTCCACACCCTGCCACACACTGCTACCCCCCTTAAGATAATAGCACTTGTAATATTTAGCAGCTCCTGTACTTTCAAGCTGGAAATTCCCTAAAGGTCCAGCCAGAGTTCTGGCTAGACTTAATACTTCTGAACTCAAAAAAATGAGCCAAAAAATGGGAGGAATGTATATAACTGAGGCAGGTGGAGAGCAAATTCTGTGAGGGTCTTTTGATTCTATAAATAGAAACAGTTTCAGAAGTTGATTCCTATCAGATGTTCAAACATTTTCTCTGCTGTTGGCATCAATATTAACAGCTTGTCTTGTGATCACATCTTTCATTTATGTGAAAAGAAGCTAGTCTCCAACCTCATCTTGGCATCCCTCATAACTTAGGGTTCAACCTTAATGTGTCCCTTGCTTATACTAAGAAACCTCTGGCCGGGCACAGTGGCTCATGCCTGTAATCCCAGCACTTTGGGAGGCTGAAGTGGGTGGATCACCTGAGGTCAGAAGTTCAAGACCAGCCTGACCAACATGGTGGTCATGTTCACCAACATGGTGAAACCCTGTCTCTACTAAAAATACAAAAACTAGCTGGATGTGGTGGCAGGTGCCTGTAATCCCAGCTACTTGGGAGGCTGAGGCAGGAAGAACTGCTTAAAAACCAAGGAGGCGGAGGTTGCAGTGAGCTGAGATGGTGCCACTGCACTCCAGCCTAGGCGATAGAGCTAGAATCCGTCTAAAAAAAAAAAAAAAACCTCCAAAACATTTCTTCTTCCTAAGATAGTAACCTCAGTGAGCACAAAGATGAGGTTTGTTTTGCTCACAGTGCCTTGCATGTAATACACACCTAGTAAATATTTGTTGAATATTCAACAAATTCCAAAGTTGAATATTCTCACATTTGTTTTATGGTTTTGTCATTGGCTGACATAAATGCCAATTTCCTAAGTTTTTGATTATGTCACTTTAGAAATGTCTTCCTGGGTACTTCAAACTATTTATGCATTCAAACAGGAGGCTATTTGTTTGATTTATCTTTTCAGTCGAGGGTAGGGAATCTGTTCCAAGTCACTTATTTTATCCTCCTCTCTAGTTCATTGTAATTAAAGGCCAAGCTGAGAAAACAAGAGACTTCCAAGACTGATGGTATAACTTTTATCTGTAGCAGAGGGGAAATTAAGGGATCATGCAGGGACTGAACTCTTAATGACCAATGAACCTCTAACAAAATCAAAATAAAGCATTTAAAACATGGTATTTACCAGTCTAGTTTTTTTTTTTTTTTTTTCAGATGGAGTTTCGCTCTTGTTGCCCAGGCTGGAGTGCAATGGCATGATCTCAGCTCACTGCAACCTCTGCCTCCCGGGTTCAAGAGATTCTCCTGCCTCAGCCTCCTATTATAGGCATGCACCACCACGCCTGGATAATTTTGTATTTTTTTTGTAGAGACGGGGTTTCTGCATTTTGGTCAGGCTTGTCTTGAACTTCTGACCTCAGGTGATCCACCTGCCTCGGCCTCCCAAAGTGCTGGGATTACAGGTGTGAGCCAGCGCACCCAGCCTACTAGTCTAGCTTTTGAAAAATCTCTTATCATTGAGAATGTTATTATCATGTAAAGATACATAGACTACCCAGAAAGTCCCACAGCACCAAACTGGGCTGTATAGCATTGTACCAGTCAGGCTGTATTAACTAGGAGTATTAGAAAACTCCACTACAATGATTACAAAATGCAGGTATTGTTTTCCATGTAACAAGAAGTCTAGCAGGTAGGTGATCTAGTGTTGCTGCACTGGCTCAGCGATGTTGTTGAGGACTTAGACTCTTTCCATTTGTCTTCTCCACCTTTCTTGGAATGCTGACATTTTTCCTCCTTCTTGCTTCCTCATGGTGACCACATAGTCGCTTCCCTTGGCAATGTAGGCAGCAAGGAGAAAGGGAAAAAGGGAGAGGCCCAAGACAGTCATATCTATCCATTTTAATAACTAAGAATAACCTTTCCTTGATGCCACACTCAGATCCTCCCACTTAGCTGTTGGCCACTCCTACTTAAATCACAGCCAACTGTTAGGAGGGTGGCAAGGCTGGATTGAAGCATCATGGTTTATACTCTGAGAGGAGTCCAGCCATCCTGAGTTCAAGGGCTCTCTGCCACCTGAATAAATGTGGATTTTGTTAGAAGAGAGAAATGGGATTGGGGAGGTTTGGATGTTGTTTAAACAGTCGATATTGTCTACCATACCTTTTCTTTTAAAACCCAATGTCTACTGGACACTTACTGTGTGTCAGGCACTGTAAATTTCTCCTGAATTAACTTAACGCTCCTAACAACCCTGTGCAGTAGGTACTGTTATCTTCATATTACAGAGGAGGAAACTGAGCAGCAAAAGTTTCAGTAATTTGCTCAAGGTCTTACAGCTAAAAAGGAGCACAGCCTGTACTTGAACTCCAGCACTTTATTTCTTGGACCCACCACTTTTCCATGTTGATTAATCTTATTCTCTATGCCATTTGTGGCTTTAAAAAAGTACAATACCTAGGGTAATTTTTTCTTACATGATTTTAGGAAGAGTGATATTTATAACAAGTTGACATACTGCCAAACTGATTTTGATTTGTGAAGCATCTAATGGGGATTTTTAAAAGTAATTAAGTATGAAGCTTTCCTTCTTGTTAGTTTCAAATGTTGAAGAATCCCATATCTAACATATATCTGTTGACTTTAATTCTACAAACCTTTACAGACAACCCACTATGTGACAGGAATCACAAAGGCAGAGCTAGATAATAAAAGTACTCTAGTCAAGGACACAGGCTCATAAACAAATAATTATAACATGATAAGTGTTATCATAACAAAATGTACAATTACACTCAGGCTGACAGATTAGCCTAAGGCTGGGAACTCTATGGGGGGAGGTGAAAATTGAATTGAGCTTTGAATGAGCAAATATTTGAAACCCATTAGAATCAGTAAAAGTGATCAAATGTTGAAGCAGAACCTTGAGAAATTGGAAGCTGTAACATGTTTAGATAGCTTTGAATGCAAAATGTGCAGCTTGATGATTAACTTTCACTTATCTTGTGAAAGGAGTTTGAGAACAAACATGAGCTCATATAAATGTAATTGGCTTTAGAAATATGTTGGATTTTGTAAGCACCAATACTTTTATTTGATCATCAAAATCCCAAGCAATGGCTAGATATGTAATAAAACAAATATAACAAAACATCAATTGCAGAATCTATATAGTAGGTATATGGGTGTTCATTATACAACTCTTTCGAATTTTCTTTATGTTTGAGAATTTTCACAATAAAATATTGGTAAATAAAAACAATGTAATATGTCTCCTCGGGAAGGCTGAGAATATCCAGGACATATAGTTTACTTGTATAGCTCTTGCATTTGTACAAAGCTGGTGTTTTTCTGTACCTAGGGATATAGGTCAAGACAGTCAGCTCAAGTTTAAGCTAATCAGATAGTCCAATCCCTTAGCCATAGTTATTGATTCAAGTAAGAAGATATATACAAAGATAGGCTATTAAGATTTGAATGAAGTTTGTTGACATCTTCAGGGGAAGGAAATTTCCTCGCTCTTTGGAGAGTTTCTGAAACCATCTGATCTTTCTCTTGGGTTGTAGAAGAAGAAGGCTATACTTAAAAATGGTTGAGAGTCATTTAAAAATGACCAGAGAAAACCTAGCAGAAGAAAAGTAGGTCCTTATTGCCACCACTGTAAAGCTACTAAACCAAATCTTTATACCTAATCTTTACAGTTAAACATACAAATAAATTCTTCGTTAATCCAGTGTGCATTCTACTGAATATATCTTTTTATGAATCTCATATGTGAAATAAACACAAAATTCATGTAAGGAGACAAAATAATGATATTAAAATTGTATAAGGAAGTGCAAAAATATATGTATTCTAATCCATCCCAAAAGGTAAGTTTTCAGCTTACAAAAAGGTAAGAACTATCCATATAGTTAATAAATAATTTCAAGTTAACATCAGAAACCGATGTCATTGATTATCAATAAGTACTTTTTCAACTTAAAGCAGTGTATTTAGTTCTGAATGTTCTAAAATTTTCCAGAAATAATGTCTTTCTGATGGCTACCACTAATGTATTAGTCTGCTCAGGCTGCCTTAACAAAAATACCACAGACAGGCTTGGTGGCTCAAAAAAGAAATTTATTTTCTCAGAGTTCTGGAGGATGGAAGTCCAAGATCAAGGTGGTTAGGGGTTGGTGAGGTTGAGCTGGCAGACAGCTTCTTTTTGCTGAGTCCTGTCCTTTTCCCTGTGCCACAGAGAGAACGAAAGCTCTCTGGTGATTCTTTCTCTTTTTATATGGACACCGGTCCTGTTGGATTAGGGCTTTGCTCATATGACCTAATTTAACCTAATTACATCTTTAAATGCCCTATCTCCAAATATAGTCACATTGGGGGTCAGGATTTCAACATATGAATTTGGGGGGGGATGCAATTCAGTGCGTAACATGTATGTGAATGCATACACACACACACTCACACATGCACATTTATATTTCTATCCTCAACCTTGGTAAATGTGTGACCTTTGAAGTGAAACATTGCAAAACATGAGTGAACCTTGCAGATGCTTATTCCTTTATGTGCTCCCTCTCACCCACCACCATACTCTACATACACACCAGGAAAAAACTAAAAAAAAAACACTTAGTAGGCAGTCATTGCATCATAGATATGGTTGCCAGATCAAAAAAAAATACCATTTAAGTTTTAATTTTATATAAAAAAATATTGCTTCGGATATGCTGAAAACCTATTATTTGGGCTGGCCATGGTGGCTCATTCCTGTAATACCAACACTTTGGAAGACTGAGGTGAGAGGATGGCTTGAGGCCAAGAGTTTGAGACCAAACTGGGCAATGTAGTGAGGCCCTGTCTCTAACAAAAACAACAACGACAAAAATGGGTCATAGTGGTACGTGCCTGTAGTCCAGCTACTCAGGAGGCTGAGTTTGGAGGATTGCAGCCTCGGTGACAGAAAGATACCCTGTCACAAAAAAGATAACAAAATAATCCTATTACTTGATGTTTATCTGAAATTCAAATATAACCCGATGTCCTGTATATTATCTGGCAACCTTAATCATAGATTGAGGATTTTTTTGTTGTTAGTCTTGGAAAGAGGGAAATATTACCTTTATGTTCAGGAATAAGCTTAATTTTTGATCCCGCTCAACCCTGCTAGATCATATGTCCTGGCCAATTCTGGTTGAGACTGCTGCCGAGTATATTGCATTACATTCCTACTTCATGTTTAATTTCATCAATGTCAAATGTTTTTGGTGTGGCTTCAGATGGGTGGCTATGTGACAGGCTGTGAACACCAGGCAAGAGAAACCTCAGCTTCTGGTTTTACTAAGTATAACTTTTTAAAAACAGCTTGACAGCAACACATGCTTAGTGCAGAGACCTCTCTGAGGACCATATCTGTGTGCTGCAATGGAAGTTGATCTCTTTGCATTGTTGATTTTCAATAAAGGTTGTGGTACAGTTGAATTGTACACTTTCCCCCAAAAAAGATATATTGAGAAACTAAGCCCTGGTACCTCAGAATGTGGCCTTATTTGGAAATAGGGTCTTTGCAGATTGTGATTGGTTACCTCGAGATGAAGTCATATTGGAATAAGGTGGCTTCTAATCTTAGGTGACTGTTATCCACATAAGAGGTCACCAATGTGAAGACAGAGACATACAGGGGGAATATCATGTGACAACAAAGGCAAAGATTGGAGTTACGCAGCTGTGAGCCAAGAAATGTTGAAGGTTGCCAGCAAAGCACCAGAAGCTAGGAAGAGTCAAGAAAGGGTTCTATTTCTGACAGGGAGAGCGTGGCCATGCCGACACTTTGATTATGGACTTCTAGCCTCCAGAAGTGTAAGACAATACATTTCTGTTGTTCAGAAAAACAAATACAGCATGTTCTCACGTGTAAGTATGAACTAAACATTGAGTACACACAAATATAAAGATGGGAACAATAGGCTAGGCATGGTGGCTCACATTTGTAATCCTAGCACTTTAGGAGGCTGACAGGGGTGGATCACTTGAGGTCAGGAGTTTCAGACCAGCCTGGCCAACATGGCAAAACCCTGTCTCTACTAAAAATACAAAAATTAGCCAAGCATGGTGGCGTGCGCCTGTAATTCCAGCTACTGGGAGGTTGAGGCGTGAGAATTGCTTGAACCAGGGAGGTGGAGTTTGCACTGAGCTGAGATTGTGCCACTTCACTTCAGCCTTAGCGGCAGAGTGAGACTCTGTCTCAGGAAAAAAAAATATATATATGTGTATATATATATGAACAATACATACTGGGGAATACTGGGGATTACTAGAGTGGGGAGGGAGGAAGGTGGATTTGGGTTGAAAAACTACCCATTGGGTACAATGCTGACAACCTGGGTGACAGAATCCTTACCCCAAACTTTGGCATTCACACAATATACCCATGTAACAAACCTGCACATGTACCCCCCCGAATCCAAAATAAAAGTTGAAATTACTAAAAAAAACTCTGTTGTTTTAAGCTGCCCAGTTTGTGGCACTTCATTACAGCACCCCTAGGAAACTAATACAGATTGTTACAATTTTTACTGTTATTATCAGAAGAACAATAGAATAGAGCCACTGAGGGATGAGCTAGGTGTAAGGCGAATCGTGGGGCCTACTTATAAGTGTTTGAAGTGTCATGCCTTTGGAGGAAAAGTCTATTCCTACCAAAGAAATGGACACCTGAACTCCTGACAGCTCAGACCTTCTTTAAAAAAATTATTTTTTGATGGCACTTCTTATTTCACTTTACTGCAACAATTCCAATGAGAAGTGCAAAAGGATTTTTATTGTCATATCAGATTTACATGGTAAAATTTAATGTACTTCTTGTCAGTTTTAAACACTGGAAATATCAATAAAATGTCAAATTATATTTGACTTCAAACCCAAGTGGTTATAAAAATGCAATACAAATTTACAATCATTTAGTCTTCCCCTTTTCCCACAATAAAACCCTGTTTTATTCTTTATGGGAAGCTAAACTTATTTTGCTCAAAGCTGATAATTTATTAAGGCTTACATCAGATCTGAAGTATGTTTCTCTTAGAAATCAATGGTAGGCCTGGAACGAGGACCAAACTTTTTAATTATGGCTTTGAAGTAATGTAATTGTGGTTTTTAATGCCTCATTCATCTGCTTGAAGGATTATATGAGTTTGTTCAAAGTTCTGGAAGCAATAAAATTAATTTTTATGGACAGTGAGCCAGCAAAAGGATACTGGTGATGCTAATTGGAGTGTATGACATAATATCTCTTAATGCATTTTGTGATCTATCTTACACAATGAACATCTTGCCCAGGGTGTCAGCAGGAACTGCATCAAAGGAACTTTTGTCGGCCTTCTGTTCAAATACCTGCTTTTTTTCTTTCTCTTTTTCTGCATTCCTGGTATTAAAACAATTTATTCTCTCTTGGATGAAAGATTCAGTGGCATGCAGCTGATGTTTCTTACCGCTATTTATGAGGATTTGAGGCCAAGCCTGTCTACAGATTAAGGTTTTTAGGCAATGCTCATTTCAGTGATCAAGAAGGTCAGCCATTCCTTTCAAGTGAGCGTAGCTGAATGGGCCATAGTCACCACTGAGAGTGAAGCTTATAAGAGAATTCAATAAAAGGAGAAGGAGAATGCTAGAGAGAGCACATAAGGAGAGATCCTGGTGGAGCATATCCTGGCACCTTTCCTTGGACTCCCAAAGAAAGCATTTTTATAGTATTTGAGGATAATCAGATTTCTGGATCATAACTTGCTCAGGCAGGGCAAACATTAAAAAATAAAGTTCAAATCTTTTCATGTTTCACCCTTTCCCTCCTGCATACATTTGTGGGTTTTTTTTAATTTCAATTTTTATAATTATGTGGCATCATATATGTCTTTGTAATGCCAATGGACTATTTATTCATCCCCTTTTTCTAGAAAGGTAACTATCTAGTATATCTGGAAATATTCATTTTCTACCTAATAATTCATTTTTATTTTTTTCTGATGTTCATTTTATTCTAATGTTCTTTCTTCTACATTTTAGTAGCATTTCACAAAATTAAGATGCACTTTGTATATAACTTAGGTTGGTCCATATCAAAAGTAAATATTGAACATAAAAAAGGAATTTATAAAATTATTTTTCTAGTTTTGAGGTTTAGTTGGAATCGGCTATTTGACCCTTAGCATACTTCTGTGTTTTGTAGCTTGTTCTCCGTCTGTCTCTTAAGCTTCTCCTAAATGATGACTTCATATTTTCTCTACACCCCACAGACATCTGAGTCCTCCCTCCACCTTTCTCCTTCAGTCAATGGCTTGGCTTCATTGTTCATGAAAAAAAAAATGATCAGATGAGATTTTTATTTTTATATCCAGCATATAAAAATTGTTGTGGTGGGCAGAATAATTCTCCTCCCCCCATCTGCCAAATAGCTAGCTCCTAATTTTTGGAAATGGTGAATAGATTAAGTTACACAGCAATGGGGAATTGAGGTTGTGGGTAGAATTTAAGTTGCTAGCTAATCAGCTCACCCAGAAATAGGAAGACTATCCTAGATTATCCAGGTGGACCAAATGTAGCCATAAAAGTTCTTTACAAAGTGGACAAGAAAGGCAGCATAGGAGGTCAGGGTGACGCACTGTGAGAAGGACTCAACGTGAGTTTGTTGGCTTCAAAGATGGAGGAAGGGAGCGATGAGCGAAGGAACGTGGGTGGCCTTAAGTAGCTGGCAAGGAAGAAAGCATCCTACCCAGAGCCTACAGGAAGAAATGCAGCCCTAAAGATATCTTGATTTCTGCCTGGTGAGACCCACATTAGTTGTCTGACCTACACAACTGTAACATAATAATTTGTGTTTATTGAGCTTGTGGTAATTTGTTGGTTTGAATTTGTGGTAATTAGTAACAGCAGAAAACTGAAAATTAATCAACAATCAAACCAACAAACCAAACTAAATGAAATAACCCAAACACAAATATAACCAAAAGAAACCTTCCCAGACCCTATACGTTGCTTCTCTTCCTCTCTCTCTCTCCCTCCATTATTTCTCCTGCAATCTCAATCTCTCTCTCTCTCGCTCTCCTGTTATAGCAGAATTACTCAAAATAGTTGAATATACACATCCTGTACTTCCTTTCCCATGGCCTTCTTTCCATTCTAAATCTGGCTTCTGCATTCACCATCATACCAAATCTGTCACAGCTAAAATCACCAATGACACCCACCTTACCAAACTCAGGACATTTTCATTTTACATCGGCGTTTTTAATACATTCACCTATTCCCTTATTGAAATAGTACTTTCTCTTAGCGTCCATGAAAACAAACACTTAAAAGTGTTCGCTCTTCTTTTAGACTTTCTCAGTGTCTTCTGGCTTTCTCCACTACACCTAGTGCTTTTTATGGAGACAGCTCTGTGTTCAAACCTGAACCTCATCCAGGGTCCAAACATTAAAACAGAAACCACAGTAAATGCTTTGGACAAAAAAAAATTCACACATTGATTTTGTTACACAAGTGCTTAAAGCACAAAGCATATAAATAGAGGATAGCAAGGCAACCCAGAAATTCACAATAGCAAGAAGCAGCAATGGGTCTTCCGAAATCCTGATAGGCATAACCCACTGCCTACCTTCCATCTTCCTTGGATAGCATAAGGCACTTAAAGCTAAACAGTCGAAATCAAAGCTCACATCTTTATACCCAGACTTCATCCAGTGGCCCCCACCTTAATAAATGGAAACACCTTTCCCTTTGTTGCTTAAAGTCCCAGATGCCATGCTTAGTACATTTCTTGTCCTCACCAGTCTACTGACATCCAATAAACTACTCTTTATATTTTCCTTGTAAATAATTTCCAAAGCTGACAAATTTTCTTGGTCTTCACAGTCATCATCTGGTTCAAACCACCATCATTTCTCACTGTACCATGAAAAAAGTCAAAATTTTCTATTCTTTTACCAAAGAACTACATCTTAAAAGGAAATCTGAAGATGTGCACTCTGTTCCCCAGTCAAAAATTATATGTACATATAGAATGTAAGGGGAACCAGTTCTTAATAGGACCTAAAACCTTGTTTGATCAGGTCTTGCTGCCCATATGCCTTTCAAGCTCCCATGCACAACGTAACTGAGTTTCCCGTGGGCCTTTTCTCTCCTGCCCTCTCCTCAGCTTTCATTCCCTGGAATTCTGTTCTTCACTTCTCTATGGCCTCACTCATCCTGTCCTAAGAGAGGAGGATGCACTTATCTGATTGGGAAAGTTGGGAGAAGAAACTGGACACGTGTGGCTCAACCGTTCTTTTCCCTCTGACTGCTTGGGACTTACCTTTCTGCAGAAGCCACATATCAGCTCTGATACTTTTGTTACTAAATGTAATTTTAAAAAAATTCTTCATCTTTATGACTCTTCTACCTCTCAGTTGCAATTAATCACAAGCACAGAAGAGAGAGGGTTTCATTCTGTGTGCTCCCTAAATGTACAACATGCCAGCCTATTATACCACCTACTACAAGCTCTCAAAGCCTTCCATAGTACCCTCTCCACCATGGCATTTGTCACAGTGACAATGATATCATTATTTGTCTAACATATGTGAATTGTCTCTTTGCCCTGCAAAAAGCTGCAGTCTGTGAAGGAGACGCTTCATCTTTTTCGCCATTCTATCTCTACTGCCTAGCATGGAGCCTGGCACAGAATGAGCAGTCAGAAAATGATTGTCAAGGTTGGGTGTAGCGGCTCACACCTGTAATCCTAGTGGTTTAGGTGGCTGGGGTGGGAGGACTGCTTAAGGCCAGGAGTTCGAGATCAGCTTGGGCAACATAGCAAGACCCCCGTCTCTACAAAAAATTAAAAATTTAGCCAGGCATGGTGGTGCATACCTGTAGTCCCAGCTACTGGAGAGGCTGAGGTGGGAGGATCACTGGAGCCCAGTGAGTCAAGGCTGTGGTTAGCTGTGGTCATGCCACTGCACTCCAGCCTGGGCAATAGAGCAAGACCCTGTCTCTAAATTAATTAATTATTTTTTAATAACATGATCATTGCTAGAATACATGGAATAATTTGCTTCTTTTTACAGGAAAGGCCAGGGAGACCTCAAGAGAGCAGCCACTTCAGACAGGCATTGCCCCATAAGGAAAAGTTGGTGCTCTGCAGCAGATAATAAAATTGATATCCTGGCTTTTTTATACAAAAGAATCGAAAGGCACTATTTTATGACAAAATTATAATTAGATTTTATTTGTAATGTGACAGCAAACAGCCTAAATATATGATGAAGGAAGAAGGCAGCCAAAGAAGTTTAAGCACTCAGTATCTCAGATAGAAAATGAAATCTTTGGACTTCAGTCTGAGTTTTCTCTCACTGTACATTTCAGTATTTGATTTACCGATATGGTGTTTAGGATGGATGTATTCAATCAATGAGCACATTTAAGTGTGTCTAATCTGTAATAAATGCTGTGGGTAGTATCAAGGGCATAAGTCACAGTCCAAATTTCCGAGTCCTCCTGGAGTTCACAGTGTTAGCAAACGTCTAATAGCAGGCAGTATGCCTTAAATGCTCTGAACTTTGTTGTTGTAAATGTTGATTTCTCTTATAAATTACTCTGGCTTGGATTTCCTAGGTTTTCTTAGAACCTGTTTCTAAGGCAAGTTTGGTACAGGCCTTTTGCCATCTAAAACACTTGGGGCAGTCACAAGAGAAATCAGCTTATCCACTGAGGACTCTAGCAATTTGATGAGCACTTGCCCTGATTCTCAAGAGGGATTCTTCTTAAGAAAATAATGCAATATAATACACTGAGACTGTGCTTAGATCCTGCTCTTAATTGCTGTTTTTAAAACTGTTATTATTATTATTTTACTTTTTGGAGTCAGGATCTCTGTTGCTCAGGCTGGAGTGCAGTGGTACGATCATAGCTCACTGCAGCCTCAAACTCCTGGGATCAAGCGATCATCCTGCCTCAGCTTCTTGAGTAGCTGGGACTACAGGCATGAGCCACTATGCTGGGCTTTAATTGCTGTTTGACCTTGATAAACCTCTTCAATGTTTGGAGTCTGTTTTTGCAACAGTAAAATGGAGGCAATAAAAGTGACATCAGAGTGTGTTTCTGACTGCTTTTAAAAATAAGTTTTTATTTTAGAATAGCTTTGGATTTGCAGAAAGGTTGCAAAAATAGTAGAGTTCCCATATATACCCACAGAGGGTACCCTGATTATTAACATCTATAGTGCATATTTATAATTAATGAACCAATATGTTATATGATATTATATATTATTCCATATACATATACATACACACATATTATTAACTAAAATCCATATTTTATTCAGAATTTCTTAGTTTTTACCTAAGAGCCTTTTTTTTGGTTCCAGGATTTCATCTAGGTACAACATTACATTCAATTATCATATGTCTCCTTAGCTCTTCCTAGCTGTGACACTTTTCAAGATTTTTGTCTGTTTAGAGGATTGTGGCATACACTGTTAGTTGTCTTCTCAATGTCTCTTCTCTCCTTTCTTTTATTTATTTATTTATTTATTTATTATTTTTTAAATAGAGGCAGGATTTCATCATCTTGTCCAGGCTGGTCTAGAATTCCTGGGTTCAAGCAATCCTCCTGCCTCAGCCTCCCAAAATGCTGGGATTATAAGCATGAGTCACCACACCTGGCCTCTCCTTCCTTTTAAAAGAAAAGTAATGACAGTATGCTCAACTAAAACTCTCATTCTCCAGACTCCCTTGCAGCTAGGAGTGTCCATATGACCTCCTTCTGGGCAAGGAAACAGAAGTCAAAGATTCTGGATGAGGTTTCTCAGAAAGCTTCTTAAAGAGTCAGACTTGGCTGGATGTGCCTTTTTCCCTTACTCCACTAAACTTGTCCAGAGGGTGAAAATAATGATAAGAGATACAGCAAATATCTTTTTAAAATAACTATTGTATATTCTGTTTATTTCAATTATGAAAATGAATTTTGCAATTAATATATATGTACATATTTATTCATATTACCACATATTTGTAATAGCTTTATTAAGCTGTGATTCACATACCATACAACTGTCCTTTAAAGTATACAATTCGGTGGTTTTTAGTGCATTCACAAGTTGTGAAACCATCACCATAATCAATTTGGGAACATTTTCATCACCCCCAAATGAACCCTGAACTCATTTGCAGTGACTCTTCATTTCCCCAACTTCTGACCTCAACTCTGGGCAATGACTAATGTATTTTCTGTCTCTATAGCTTTGCCTATTCTGGACATTTCCTATAAATGGAATTATACAGTATATGACCTTTGTGTCTACCTTCTTTCCCTTACATATTTTTGGGTGTTTTTTAAGAACAAAATAGAGAACTCAGAAATAAGACTACACATCTACAACCACCTGATCTTTGACGAACCTCACAGAAACAAGCAATGGGGAAAGGATTCCCTATTTAATAAATGGTGCTGGGAAAACTGGCTAGCCATATGCAGAAAACTGAAACTGGACCCCTTCCTTATACCTAATACAAAAACTAACTCAAGATGGATTAAAGACTTAAATGTAAAACCCAAAACCATCAAAACCCTAGAAGAAAACCTAGGCAATACCATTCAGCACGTAGGCACTGGCAAAGATTTCATGATGAAAATGTCAAAAGCAATTATAACAAAACCAAAAATTGACAAATGAGATCTAATCACACTAAAGAGCTTCTGCAGAGTGAACAGACAACCTACAGAAGAGGAGAAAATTTTTGCAACAGTGGATAAGTTTATCTACAAAGAACTTAAACAAATTTACAAGAAAAAACAAACAACCCCATTAAAAAGTAGGCAAAGGACATGAACAGACACTTCTCAAAAGAAGACATTTATGCAGCTAACAAACATATAAAAAAACCTCAACATCACTGATCACTAGAGAAATGCAAATCAAAACCACAATGAGATACCATCTCACACCAGTCAGAATGGCAATTATTAACAAGTCAAGAAACAACAGATGCTGGCGAGTCTGTGGAGAAATAGGAACACTTTTACACTATTGGTGGGAATGTAAATTAGTTCAACCATTGTGGAAGACAGTGTGGCAATTCCTCAAAGACCTAGACCCAGAAATACTATTTGACCCAGCAATCCCATTACTGGGTACATACCCAAAGGAATATATTATATTTATAATATAGTAGAATAATAAATCATTCTATAAAGATACATGCATGTACATGTTCATTGCAGCACTACTCACAATAGTAAAGAGTGGAATCAACACAAATTGCCATCAGTAATAGACTGGATAAAGAAAATGTTGTACATATATACCGTGGAACACCATGCAGCAATAAAAAGGAATGAGTCATGTCCTTTGCAGGGACACAGGTGAAGCTGGAAGCCATTATCCTCAGCAAACTAGCACAGGAACAGAAAACCAAACACCACATGTATTCACTTATAAGTGGGAGCTGAACAGTGAGAACACACAGAGAGGGGAACAACACACATGAAGGGAGGGAGAGAATCAGGTAAAATATCGAATGCATGCTGGGCTTAATTCTCAGGTGATGGATTGATAGGTGCAGCAAACCACCATGGCACATGTTTACCTATGTAACAAACCTGCACGTGCACCCTGGAACTTAAAGTAAAATTTAAAAAAAAAGAAAGATCTAATTCTTTAAGGGTAGGGTCTTGCTCTGTCACCCAGTCTGGAGTGCAGTGACACTATTATGGCTCACTGTAGCCTTGAGCTCCTAGGCTTAAGTGATCCTTCAGCCTCAGCCTCCTGAGTAGCCAGGACTACAGGTGTACACCACCATACATGCAGTTAATTTTTAAAACGTTTTTAGTAGAGGTGAGGTCTCACTATATTGCCAGTGCTAAGTCTGTAACTGCTGGCCTCAAGCAATCCTCCTGCCTCAGCCTCCCAAAGTGCTGGGATTACAGGCATGAGCCCACATGGTTGGCCTCCTAAGCACATTTTTAAGATTTATCTATGTTGTAGCATGCATCAACGCATCATTTTCTTTGATGACTGAATAATATTCCATTTTGTGGATAGTTTATATTTTATTTATTCACTCATCAGTTAGTGGACATTTGATTTATTTTCACTTTTTGGCTATTATAAATGAAGTTGCTATAAACATTTATATACAAGTTTTTGCATGGACATATATTTTCTTTCTCTTAGGTAAATACCTAGGAGTGGAAGCAGCAAATAACTTGAGAACATGAGGATGAAGGCCTCATGTAAATTATAGCAGAGCAAGAAACACAGGAGATGGGGTCCTCATGATATCTTAGAGGTACTACAACTTGCCTAGACTTTCTACCTAGGGATTTCTTATTATGTGAGGAAAAAAATAAGCCCCTTTCTTATCTAAAAGGCTTCTAAAAAGTCTGCTGCTGTATGCTGCTAAAGAGAATTCTTACTGATACCAAGATTAAATGGGATGTTGTCAAGCAGAGGGCAAGGGTTCCATGCCTGGTGCAGTCAGTTTCACCCTCACTCCAAGGAAGCTTGTTCTGATTCTTCCAGCTCATACTCAATGGTTCCTTCTCCTCAGAACATCTTGAACTAAGGGCCATATATTATTTGCTCTTTTGTATGTTACCCTTGTATTCTTGGTGTGTCTGTAAACTGAGGACAAAATATCACTGGTAATGCTATTTTGTTGCGGCTCTGGAGCACCTAGGTGAGGTGCTGGGCCATAGTACCCCACAGGAAATACTTGGGATTGATTCTACTGTAAGTACAAATCTGGTATTTTCTCAGTGAAGATCCTGTTCTCTGAATGTGACATTCACCAACAACACATGGAGAAGGACTAATGCCCTGCAGTGCCACGGCAATAAATCTCTGGTGGCAGTTTCAAAATTCTAGCCTCCTTGCTGCTAAAAACCAAGCCTAATTTTTACAAAAGACCATAACAGTTAGTGATACATGCCTGATTGCTGCTACTGGCTCAACCAACAATTCATTCCCTTGTTTTTGCAAGATTAACAACAGAGATTAATTTGCAATAAAATTAACAACAAAGGCTAATTAACAAAGACAAAGACAACAGTTAACAGAGTACATAATATATATTAAGAATAGTGCAATAAAGAAAAATAATGCGATACATTTGAAAGATAAAAAATAAACAGAGGATTTATGGAGGTGGGGGTATGGTGGAACTGCTCTGTATCTTGATTAGGTGGTGGTTACATAACTGTATGTATTTGCTAAAACTCATAGTTTAACTAAAAAGTGTGAATTTTACTCTATGTGAACTATACCTCAATAAATCTAACCCTGCACTGTCAAGTCCCAAGAAAAAAAATAAAATAGAAATGCTCAGTCTGTACTTACAAGTAACTTACAAATTAGGGGACAAAAATAACAAATTCAAAACTTTGAGAACTCTTTTATTCAAATTTCAAATCAAAATCAAGGAAGATATTATAAAAATTAATTTAGTAAGCCATGAAGATCATTTAAAAAAAGAAAATTTTGGAAAGGAAAATGTTGGAATTTAATACATGCCATAAGAATAATTAGTTTGATAAAACGTATTCCAATTATATCCGTGTAAGTGGAAACATATGGAATATGTTTGAATGTATGTGTATGGACTCGGTGTGGTATAAATGCAGAATGACCAAACATCTCAGTTTGCCTAGGACTATCCTGATTTTAGCCCTGAAAGTCCCACTTCCTGGGTAACCTCTAATTCTCAGTGAAACCAGGATAGCTGCTCTATTTTTTTTTTTTTTTTTTTTTACTGAGAATTATGGGTTTTTTTTAGAGTGTAAAAAACACTGATTGAAAAGTTATCACAATCTTTCTGTTTTTGTATTAGGACCAATAAGAATATAACGTGCCAAAGTTGATTCTGCAGAGATTCTCATTTCTCCAGCATGTGCTTATCAATCGATACCATAAGCATTTATGTGCTTATCCACTCTACCTGACGGCTTGAGAGTAGGGGCCATGTCATAATTCTTGAATTCCTTTGATTTAGCACATAGTAAATTTTTCATATACACCTGCTCTGTATACAGAGATCTGTCAATATAACTAAGGCATGGAAATTTGCTAATTATATTGTGTGTAATGAAGAGGAAAAGACAAGTTATGCATTGGCATGGAGGCAAAATAAGGATTTCAGATTTTATCTTTAATGTATTGAGAAAAAAATCTTACAGATTTCAAGTGCCAACTTTATTAGATTCACATCTTCCAGGTTTCTCAATTTTCTTTATTTCACTGTTTCGACCACATCCTTAGTACCAGAAAGGAGTGACACCCTCATTCCCTAAATAAATAGTGGCTCTTAATAAACAAGAGCCTCTTGTCAGCCCCAGAGCTTTGTAACTGAGATCACAGCTGTATGGCAGCATCCTCATCTTTGACATGGGGATAATAATAGTAACCCTTTGCACTTGATTCAGCAGTTTAGTTCTCCTAAAAGGGGTAGTAGTTCTAAAGCCCTTAGTGCCTAGAACATAGTAAGATCTATAAAATGGCTTCTTAAATAAATATACAGTCTATTGTGAAGAATGTGAGAATTGAGAGATAAATACCTTTTCAAGTTAGACGTAAGTGCAGCAATGTGAATAAGAAATTGCTAGATCCAATATATGAATTAAGAATTACGCCAACGGATTACTGATGTACTTGTGTATTTTTGGGTGGTGATGGGTTCTATACATCCATTAGTTTTCTATTGGTGCATAACAAATTTGGCAGCTTAACAAGACAAATTTATTGTCTCACATTTTCCATGGGTCAGCAGGCTAAGTATAGCACAGCTGGGTTCTCTGCCTGGATCTCAGAAGGCTCAAATGGAGAGGTCACCTGGAGCTATGATCTTACGTTAAGCATAAGTTCCTTGTCATGCTCATGTTCACTGGTTGGCAGAATTTAGCTGCTTTTTTTTTTTTTTTTTTTTTTTTTTTTTTTTTGATATGGAGTCTCACTCTGTCACCCAGGCTGGAGTAGAGTGGTGCAATCTTGGCTCACTGCAACCTCCGCCTACCAGGTTCAAGTGATTCTCCTGCTTCAGCCTCCCGAGTAGCTGGGATTACAGGCACCCGCCATCATGCCAGGCTAATTTTTGTATTTTTAGTAGACACGGGCTTTCACCATGTTGGCAAGGCTGGTCTTGAACTCCTGACCTCAGGTGATCTGCTCACCTTGGCCTCCCAAAGTGCTGGGATTACAGGCATGAGCCACTGCACCCAGCCTTTAGCTTCTTATAATTGTAGGAATGGAGGCCCTCAGCAACTCGAGGCCACCCACTGTTTCCTGCCACATGATTCGCTCTACAATATGGTAGCTTACTTTTTCAAATTGGGCAGGAGAATGCTCCAAATGTCTCCCTTTAGGAGGGACTCAGTACCTTTTAAGGATTCACCTGATTCAGGCAGCCCCACCCAGGATAATTACCTCTGATTAATGAAAACTCAACTAATTTGGGACCTTAATGACATTTGCAAATCCCTTTACCTTTCTCCTACAATATAACTTAATCACAAGAGTGACAGCCATATTCATATTCACTGTCCTAGCCACCTTCAAACCACAAGGATCATACAAGGCAATATACCAGGGGACAAGTATCTTTGGGGTCATCTTAGAATCCTACGTATTTCAGTATGCTTTTCAGCCATTGCAAAATACAGCTACTTTATACAACTGGGTTGCATAAAGATCTCTCTAAATGCAGTAGGAAGGATTTACTAGGGGTTGGGGAGTAAAATGTGGTGAGAGAAAATAAATAATGAAACAGGAATAACAGTTGGAAAGATAATGCCATAGTGAGAGCTGATGCTGGCAGTGGAGGTGAAGAAAATTTCACAGTTTATAGATATATATTGGAGAAAAACTAGGCAGGCTTTAATGATGGGTAGGAAGTATGTAGCAAGTTAAGAGAGGAAGAGTAAAGGATGCTGTATTGTTATCTATTACTGCATAACAAATTACCCCCTAACATAGCAGTTTAAAACAACGAACATTTATCGTATCACAATTTCTATGGGTTAGAATTTTGGGTGCAGTCAGCTGGGTTACAATCAAGACATCAGCTGAAGCTTCAGCCATCTGAAGGCTTGACTAGGGCTGGAAGATCTGTTTCCAAAATGGCGCACTCATATGGCTGCTGGCTGAGGCCTCCTGTTTCTCCATGCATGGGCCTCTCCACAGGGCTGCTTGAGTGTCCTTATAAAATGGCAGCTGTTTTTTTCCAGAATCAGTGATCCAAGAGACAGAGCAAGTTAGATCTTGCAGTAACCTTTTATAAACTAGCCTCAGAAGTCACATACACTGACTTTTACCATGTCCTCCTCATGAGAAATGAGTCATTAATTCAGCTATACTCAAGGGGATGAGAATTATGTTCACCTTTTGAAGACAAGAGCCCCAAAGAATTGTGCATACATGGTAAAACTATGACAGGTGACTTTTTGGATTCAAGTTTGCATAATGGCACTGCTTACCTTTACAGACTCACATTGAACATTCTAGTAATAATAAAACAAAATTGTGTGAGGATTTTGGTGAAAATAAATGAATATCAATAAACTTCCATAAGAGTTAGAGAAGGGTTAGATGGACAGGAGCTGAAGTGGCCAAGGGAGATTTAAATGTGAGCTTGCCCTTGAATGATGAGTAGGATTTGGGTAGAGAGATGCAAAATAGTAAACCAAGTAGGGTGCACAGTACAAGCAAGCGCTTGGAGATGGAACAGAGAAAGACCCCACCGAAGCCAAACATTTGATCTGAGGGTAATACAACAGGAGTCAGTAAAAGTGGGGAGCCACTTCATGAAGAACCTTAAGAAATTTCAAGCTAAGGAATTTGCACTTGATTCAGCAGTTGAGAATTCATGATATTTTCAGAGAGAAAGGGAATTGTGCATAGCAGTTTGATGTGTTAGGGACTTGGCACAGCCAAGGGATGTTTCTACTGTTGACTTGTGTTCCAGATGCAAGGCCTGCTCCTCAAACTTAGTGAGACCCAGGAACCTAAGTATTTTGTGCACTGAAGGGACTGACTGTGAATCCAATTATTCATCAGTTTGGAAGGATTTATTGTGGAATCCTGAAGGAAAAGTCTCCTGTCACCAAAGCAAGATTTAAACTGCTTAAGTGCACATAAGTCAAGCAGAAATTATGGTAATTGGACTTAAACCTGCTTCCCTCTCTGCATATTGTAAATAAAAGAAGACAGTTTAAACAAAGGAGCAAGATGTAAATACAAGAATGAGATCAAAGCAAATCTGGAATTAAATTCTACAAAGAGAAAACAAAATCCAAGATATATGGCCAGCACTTTTTAATGCATTTTACAGGACTAAAAACTGGCAGCCTAAAATATGATTTGCTCAACACATCTATATAAAGTTTGCAAAACAACTTAGAATTCACCCGTTTTGGTGTTTCCCAATTATCTTGCATTTTATGAAGTCATTTACTAATTTTTCACTGAAATATGCACAGTGACTAACATATTTGCATACAAATGAACTATCCATAGTCCTGAACTTTTCTTTGTCACCTAAACCACCCACAGTCTTGTTGTTTACATGTTATTTTCATTAATAATAATGTAAACTAAATAAAATAAATGAAGATGTTAGGGCATAGATTTAGACTGGTGACATAAAATTATTTATAGAATCACTAAACTTTATAAACTTATCCTAATAAAGAATAATTTGAAAGTAGGTCTTCAGGTAGATAGTGCTAAGAGTAAAAAGGTTGTGACTAAGGAAGCAAGGATGATGGGACGCTTTGAGATACTGAGACAAATAGACATACATAGAATAGGGAAATGGGTCAGGAAAGCAAACTGAGCAATAACAGGGAGCTAATACAAACATTACTAATTTATCATTTTTAATCAAGGCAGTGACAAATATACAGAATTAATATTAGTCAAGTGGCCTCATAGATAAGCTCTGGTCAGCTATTACCAAATAGAAATTTCTTTTTTTATCATAAGCCCATACTTGTATATCATGCCTTCTTCATGCAAGTGATATTGCCTTCAAGGGAGTAAAAATTGATTCTTGGAGGGCCAAATCTCTTACTTGTTTTTCGTATAAACACAGAAACACATATAATACCTAAACACATACAAAGTATATCTCTGGTATTAAAATTTCATGGAGGGAATAATCAGATAAAAAATGTCTCAAGGGCTCCTCGTATGTGTGTTGGGGGTAGGGGATAGTAATAAAAAAATATGTTGACAAACATGGTGTGATATAATCCTTTCCTAAGTTTTGTGTAGGAATCCACTAGAATTTAAGTTCCTTAAGCACAAGAATTTAGGCCTGTTTTTTTTTTCTTTCACTGCTGTACTCTCAGTGCTTAGAGCCTGCTTGACACATAGTAGGTACTTAACAAATATTTACTAAATAAATGAATTGTTTTACTTTGCAGCAGAGACACCCAGGGCAATGGTGATAGTGCCTTGATATCTATTACTCTTATAATTAAAAGAGAACAATCTAGCACTTGGTCAAGTTCTTTGGTGCGACTGGAGAAGAAACTAGGGACTGGACCAAAGAAGACTTGACAAAGTGCTAGGTTGTTCCCTTTTAATTGTCCTTCAGCCTGGCACTTTTCATGTTCTCTGTCCTCCCTTAAACCACTGGGCCTTTGTATATAATGCTATTTCTACTCTAAATCTCATCTCCTGCAGCATAGTCAACTCCAAGTCATCCTTCATTCCTATCTCTGACTGATTCAAAGGTTTCCATAATTCCCTATACTTCTTTATCATAGCATTTAACACAGGGACGATATAGTATGCCTTTGTATGACATATCAATAATGCCTGTTTTCTCACTAGACTGTAAATTCTATGGAGTCTGTTTGGTTTCATTATTTTATTCCCTGCAAATAGTACTATGCCTAGTGTTGCACTCATTGAATAAATTCAAATAACAAACACATGATTAATTCTGAAAAGTCCAGGATTCAATGAATGCAAATGTGTTAGGTGTGTGATCAAGATTAAACAAGAACCATACTAACTTCAGTTAACATAAAAAGTAATTATTTTCTACCAATTAGTCTCTGATAAGCCACTTGGAAATGAGAATTTTAATCAACGGGTAGTAACTGAAAAAGTACTCAGTGGCAGTACTGTATTATGAGCTATATTGAATGTGTTTTAGTGTTTGTAGATATTAGGACTCTATACATACTAAACCCTGATCATTTGGCATTCGGTATAGTATGGAGATCAGCTTAAGAAAGAATCGTCTGAGATTTGAGCTTTTATTTTTATTTTTATTTTAGGTTCTGGGATACATGTGCAAAACGTGCAGGTTTGCTACATAGGTAAGTGTGCCATGGTGGTTTACTGTACCTATCAGCCCCTATCTAGGTATTAAGCCCCACATGCATTAGCTATTTATTTTGATGCTCTACCTCCCACCACCCCCGATAGGCCCTGGCGTGTGTTGTTCCCCTCCCTGGGTCCACGTGTTCTCATTGTTCAGCTTCCACTTATGAGTGAAAACATACAATGTTTGGCTTTCTATTCCCATGTTAGTTTGCTGAGGATGATGGCTTCCAGCTTCATTCATGTCCCCTCAAAGGACATGGTCTCATTTGTTTTTATGGCTGCATAGTATTCCATGGTGTATATGTATCACATTTTCTTTCTTTCTTTTTTTTCTTTTTTTTTTTTTTTTTTGAGATGGAGTCTCCCTCTGTCACCCAGGCTGGAGTGCAGTGGTGTGATCTCAGCTCACTGCAAGCTCTGCCTCCCAGGTTCACGCCATTCTCCTGCCTCAGCCTCCCAAGTAGGTGGGACTACAGGTGCCCACAACCATGCCCAGCTGATATTTTGTATTTTTAGTAGAGACAAGGTTTCACCGTATTAGCCAGGATGGTCTCGAACCCCTGACCTCTTGATCCACCTGCCTCGGCCTCCCAAAGTGTTGGGATTACAGGCGTGAGCCACCGTGCCTGGCCTGTACCACATTTTCTTTATCCAGTCTATCATTGATGGGCATTTGGGTTGGTTCCACATTTTTGCTATTGTGAATAGTGCTGCAATAAGCATATGTGTGCATGTACCTTTATAATAGAATGATTTATATTCCTCTGGGAATCCCATTATATCAGTAATGGGATTGCTGGGTCAAGTGGCATTTCTGGTTCTAGATGCTTGAGGAATCACCACACTGTCTTCCACATTGGTTAAACTAATTTACATTCCTACCAAGAGTGTAAAAGCATTCTTATTTCTCCACAGCCTTGCCAGCATCTGTTGTTTCTTGACTTTTTAATAATCAGCATTCTGACTGGCGTGAGATGGTATTCATTGCGGTTTTGATTTGCATTTCTCTAATGATCAGTGATGTTGAGCTTTTTTTCATATGTTTCTTGGCCACATAAATGTCTTATTTTGAGAAGTGTCTGTTCATGTTCTTTGCCCACTTTTTAATGGAGTTGTTTGTTTCTTGTAAATTTGTTTAAGTTCCTCCTAGATTCTGGATATTAGACCTTTGTCAGATGGGTAGATTGCAAAATTTTTCTCCCATTCTGTAGGTTATCTGTTTACTCCAATGATAGATTCTCTTGCTGTACAGAAGCTCATTAGTTTAATTAGATCAATTTTAGCTTTTGTTGCAATTACTTTTGGTGATTTCATCATAAAATTTTTTGCCCATGCCTATGTCCTGAATGGTATTGCCTAGATTTTCTTCTAGGGTTTTTATGGTTTGGGGTTTTACATTAAGTCTTTAATCCATCTTGAGTTAGTTTTAGTATAAGGTGAAAGGAAGGGGTCCAGTTTCAGTTTTCTGCATGTGGCTAGCCAGTTTTCCCAGCACCATTTATTAAATAGGGAATCCTTTCCCCATTACTTGTTTTTCTGAGATTTATCAAAGATCAGATGGTTGTAGATGTGCAGTCTTATTTCTGAGCTCTCTATCCTGTTCCATTGGTCTATGTGTCTGTTTTGGTACCAGCAGCATGCTGTTTTGCTTACTGTAGCCTTGTAGTATAGTTTGAAGTCAGGTAGCTTGATGCCTCCAGCTTTGTTCTTTTTGCTTAGGATTGTCTTGGCTGTACAGGCTCTTGTTTTCTTCCATATGAATTTTAAAGTAGTTTTTTCTAATTCTGTGAAGAATGTCAATGGTAGTTTGATGGGACTAGCATTTAATCTATAAATTCCTTTGGGCAATATGGCCATTTTGATGATATTGATTCTTCCTACCCACGAGGATGGAATATTTTTCCATTTGTTTGTGTCCTGTCTCATTTCCTTGAGCAGTGGTTTGTAGCTCTGCTTGAGGTTTTTCACTTCCCTTGTTAGCTGTATTCCCAGGTATTTTATTCTCTTTGTTGCAATTGTGAATGGAAGTTCATTCATGATTTGGCTCTCTGCTTGTCTGTCGTTGGTGTGTAGGAATGCTTGTGATTTTCACACATTGATTTTGTATCCTGAGACTTTGCTAAAGTTGTTTATCAGCTTAAAGAGCTTTTGGGCTGTGATGATGGGGTTTTTTAGATATAGGATCATGTTGTCTGCAAACAAAAACAATTTGACTTCCTCTCTTCCAATTTGAATATCCTTTATTTCTTTCTCTTGCCTGATTTTCCTGGCAAGGACTTTAAATACTATGGTTGAACAGGAGTGGTGAGAGAGGGCATCCTTGTCTTGTGCTGGTTTTCAAAGGGAATGCTTCCAGCTTTTGCCCATTCAGTATTACATTGGCTGTGGGTTTGTCATAAATAGCTCTAAGGGGTTTCCATTATCTAGAAAAGTCACCCAGAGAGGTTTAAAGAAAAACACTCTTTTCGTTGAGCACTTTGTGATTGAAACGTTGACAGGTACTTCACATGCATTCTCATTTAATCCTCATTAATTATGTGAGAAGGTGATATTTATTATTGCCTCCATTTTAAGATGAAGAAACTTTGGTTCAGAGTGGTGCTGTGACCTAGTTATGCTCCCCTTAAGTAGTGCTATGGTTTGAATGTTTGTTTCCTTCCAAAATTCACATATTGAAACCTAATCACCAATGTGATGGCATTAAGAGGTGGGATCTGTGGAAAGCAACAAGGTCATGAGGGCAGAGCCCTTAAGAATGGGATTAGTGCCCTTGTAAAAGAGGCCCCACAGAGCTGTTTTGCTCCTTTTACTATGTGAGACCACAGAAGGTGAAAGTGAGCCCTCACCAGGTACCAAATCTATAGACACCATAATCTTGAACTTCCTGGCCCCCAGAACTGTGAGAAATAAATTTCTGTTGTTTATAAGTGATCTAGTTTATGGTATTTTGTTATAGAAGCCCCATTAGACTAAGACAGGTAGTATCCACAGCTTACAAAGTAAATAAACCAATAAGACATCATTATTCTTCTACAGATGTCAATATGAGGAATATAGGAAACAAAGCTTATAAAGCAAGCAGCAGCAACCTTTTTCTGAAGAGTTCTCGATAGTAGATATTTTAAGTTTTGCAAGCCATGTGGTATCTGTTGCAGCTAGTCAACTCTGTCCTTGTAGCTCAAAAACATCAATAAAAATGTCCTAAACCAATGAGTATTGTTCTGTTGAAATAAAATTATTTGTGGACACTGAATTTGAATTTCACATAGCTTTCATATGTCACCAAATATTCTTCTTCTAAATTGTTTTCATTTGCTTAAAAATGTAAAACCATTTTTAACTTATGGACTATTGCAAAGCCAACAGTGGGAAAGTTTTGGCCCACGGATCATAGTTTGCTGAACCCTGTTATTGTAGTAATGACCGTATTAGTAGGTATAGTTAACATTTATTGGCCCTATCCTATGTCCCAAGTACTAAACACTGTAAGAGTTAAATATTAACATTTCTTATCAGGTAGATGGCAGTAATACTATTCCTACTTGCTCAAGATTATATAGCTATGGGAGATGGAGGAATCAGGATAAAAACCCAGGTTTAGAATATATCCCAAACTCCCAGCTTAGAATATATTTATGAATGAAAACATGTTTATATGAATCAAAAATAAAATAGTTGCGAATTTGTGTAGGACTCCATATACAGAAGAGGAGTTTGGGGAACAGTAAGTCCCTGACAGTAAGAGTAGAGCATGGAAGAGCTGAGTCTTAAATTGAGCCTTAGTAAGGTTCTTTATCTAAATGTTAGGTAGGAGGAAGTGGGCAGAGAGGGGAATAGCATAAACAAAGTGAGAAATAAATAGAGCTTAGCATACATAAGAAGCTTGGCTGTTCTGTAGATTTTCTGTTGTAGTTATGTATTATTGGAGCTTCACAGTGGGTACTATTTTCAAAGGCTTTAAATGTATGGATGTTGGTTTCGTAGTTTTGACAAATGTACCGTGGTAATGAAACCATTAGGGGAAACTAGGTGAGGGGTAAAAGAGAGATCAATCATCTTTGGAACTTTTCTCTGAATCTAAAATTATTACAACATACAAAGTTTATTATAAAAAGTATTTTGAAATCCAGTTATTTTTTCAAATATAAGGTTGAGAAACCTACCAGTTCAAATGATCTCCCAACTCAAACTTTATTCAGTTTTCTCTGTACATGTCCTGAGGTTAATCTAAGATCTGTTTCCCACAGGTAGTTGAGGGAACCTCAGAGAGGTTTAGAAATGAGCATCCAAGCTCTAATACTCCCTCTGCTCCTGCTGTCACTCTAAAACTTTTTGACATCAGATCCATGGCGTGGCAGCTTTTTGATGTTGGATCGATAATATAAACAACAATTTTGAGTGACAGCTTCATCAAGTTAAAACTCCCAACAACTGTACTTCAGAGGCACAGAACTATCTGCTAGAGATCTACTGAAAAAATCAAAAGATGAACCTGAAAGAACTTAATATTATAAAAGAGGCTTCCTTCGGGCCTTCTCTCCAAAGGGTTTCTTTTCCATTAGAGAAGACTGATGAGAAGTCAGCAAAAGGAAAGTCTTTCTCTTCAAGCCAGGTGACTTTAATGCCACTGAGATGATAGAATACAGCTTTGAAATTATCTCCTTCCACCACACTCATCATAATTCCTTTGGCACTATAGGTACAGCCAATAATATTTAACTGCTCCCAGAAAACTATTCTGTAGCATTTCAATAGCCATTGTAAAGGAAACTCATTGTCTACAGACTCTTCAATGCAGTAAGTACACAAAGGAATAAATAAATAAACCATATCTTCATTGGCTATAATATGCACATTTTTTTTACATGTTAGTGTCTCTGAAATTAGGATGTTAATATCTCTGAAATCCTCCCGCCTCAGCCTCCCAGGTAGCTGGAATGCAGGTGTGCATCACCACTCCAGGCTATATGTATATAGCCATACCACTACATGTATAGTGATGGTGCATGCCTGTAGTCCCAGCTACTTGGCAGGCTGAAGCAGGACGATAGCTTAAACCCAGGAGTTTGAGGCTACAGAGAAATATGATCATGCTACTGCACTCCAGCCTGAGCAATAGAGCAAGACCCTGTCTCAAAAAAAAAAAAAAAAAGAAAGAAAGAAAGGAAAAAAATCAATTGTCTTTCTATTGCTGGGACAGAAATTGTTTTTTTACAGAGAGGATTTACATTGGTTGCTGTCAGTTAGGGGCACTGCTCACTTGAGATCACTTTAAATTAAATTAAGGTGTTGGAACTGTACTGGTAGTTTGCATTCAGACTTTAAATCTGCATGAGTACATGCTTGGTTAAAAAAAAATACTCAGTGGAGATTTTTCTTTCCGCTCTTTCTACTTGGTGTCAAGTTTGAGATATGCATCTTTTCTTGTGATCTTTTTCTGCATGGTGGGTTTATTTCTGCTTACCCTTTCAAGAAGCATAGAGCTCGTTGGTATCATGGCTTTAGGTACCACTTTCTCACTAACTTCCTCATCTTGGGCAGTTTGGGTTTTCTCTCTAAAATATATAAAATAATGATGCATCTTACAATAAATGTTTTCTATTCAGTGAAATATGAAAATCTCTCAAGTTCAAGTTCTTATTTTTACTAGCAACCATGGTAAACCTTTGCATAAATGATATGAAATTCTGCCTCTAGGACAGTCTGAGTGGTATCACTTGCTTTGTAGTTTGTGTCGTTGAGTATGACAGTGCATTATGTGTGCATGAATGTTTTTGATTTTATGTGTGTATGGTTATTTCTTAAGCAGCAACTTAGGTTTAGTTGGTTTTAATGGGAATACATACTCTGGCAGTAGTGAGCTAGCCATCTAATCAGGAAGGTCATGCTTCAGAGGCAACTACTCCAAACATTTTTGTTATTCATATCCAATAAAACATTAAATGCTTCATTAATTAGCAATTTCAGAAGTAGACTTTATCGATGAAATTATGTTTATTAAATGGCATAACAAATGTTAGAAGTAGGCTTTCATCAATTCCATGACAATTTTCAATAGATGCAATAGCTAAAGTACAGAGATTCTCCCCCCGTCTTGCAAAGCAGAATATAAGAACCTGGTAGAGCCTGCTCTGTTTCTGGAGCTGGCACTTGAGACTCTATTCTTAAACAGACCTGTACCATTGGTTTGGAGAATTTCTAACTGCCTTATGCCAATCACTAGAAAAACAGTACCCTGCCTCTGGAATATTGTTTCATCTGTCTTGCGTGAACATTTCATGCAAGGAGTAGTTGGAACATCTAAAAGGAGAGAGAGGTGAACTTTGAGTTTACAGAATAGTTGTTTTTCCTAATTACTATGGAATACTCAGTACATGTCACTATATGCAGTAGAATTTCCTCTGAACTGGCTTCATTATAGCCCAGCAGCAAGATTGTAATCCTGTATAAAGCCATAACATTTGTTTGTAAAGTGTGTGTTTTGCTTGCGCTTTCAGGCCAAGATAGCATGTCGAAGCTGAATCCAGCCTTGTTCTCCAATAGCCCTGTTCCAGTCAGGGCAGTAGAAACTCCAAGAGAATAACTTTTGTTTTGTTTTTTAGTTTTTCACTTTGTCCGTCCAGAAGGGGGTATCTTTTCTAATTCACACAGAGGTATTAGTTTAGGTTGGCTTAGTTCCTTGATCTCTGGTATTTCACATTTCTTAGAGGGTTATTTTTATCTAAGAAAAAAGAACCTAAGGTTTGTGGCTGGTGCAACAAGAAGGTACCAATATTTGTCTATTTTACATAAAAATATAAAGGGACTTAAAGGAAGTAAAAAAATGTACCGAAGTTCATGTTCCCTTGGATTCTGGATTATGCCTATTCATAATCTGAGTCTCTGGGCAGGCCTCTATTGAGAAACTGACATCAAATCATCATGAAGACTTTCAAAGCACAACAAGATTTTGACATCATTAAATTCTTCTGCAACCATTGCCTTATTGACATAGGCATATTTCACTTTTTGCAGCATCTGTACTCTTGAAGGGACACACATAAATCTAATTTCTACAAATCGAAACTGTTTTGCTCACTAATTTGCAATAGAAGTTCAAGAATGACATTTTCATCTCATATGTCCACAAAAGATATCCTAACCTGTGCTACGTTTCTATGGTTCACATTTCACCATTTTATTAAAGAGCTAATAGTCTTTAATCCTACATTCAACTGTACCATGGAACCCTTAAAGAAGCCCTGCACCAATAAATTAATAAAATAATGTTACACAGATTTTGCCAATGTACCAGGTTTTCTGTTTCCACCAACAAGTAGATATTCCTGGAGAATCAACAAGTGACAATGTTAGTGAGAAGGCATGTGCTTGCACATGATTCTAAGATATGGCAAAAAGGCTTCAGAGATCCAAGTTACTACATCGGGCTCATATTTTTAAAATAATCTAGAGTTATAATCATCTACATCTCTAAAAGGGCAAACTTCCACAGGTGCTGACTATAGAGAAGTAACTTGATGGAATTAAAACATTCTAGAATTAAAAAGGACTTTAGAGAAAAAAGAGTCCAACTTCTTCCAAATCAGACTATCTTCTATTACATCCTTGATAAGATGATTAATTTACTGGGAGATGATGATAGAAAGAGAATAGAATTTTACAGTTTCAAATGTTGTTGCTATGAACTGAATTGTGTCCCTCCCCAAATCCATATGTTAAAGCTCTAACTCCCAATGTGACAGTATTTGGAGATGGGGCCTGTAGGAGGTAATGAAGTTTAGATGAAGTTACCATGGTAGGGCTCTAATGATAGGTTTAGTACCCTTATAAGATGAGACAAAACACATTTATCCAACAAGAAAAAGATATATGGGAACTGATGTGGTTTGGCTATGTGTCCCCACCCAAATTCTCATCTTGTGGCTCCGATGATCCTCAAATGTTGTGGGAGGGACCCAGTGCGAGATAACTGAATTGTGGGGGGCATGTCTTTCCCATGCTGTTCTTGTGGTGAGTGGGTCTCACATGATCTGTTGGTTTTATAAACGGGAGTTGCCCTGCACAAGCTCCAGCTCCCTCTTTGCCTGCTGCCATCCATGCAAGACATGACTTTCTCCTCCTTGCCTTCTGCCATGATTCTGAGGCCTCCCCAGCCATGTGGAACTGTAAATCCATTAAACCTCTTTCTTTTGTAAATTGCCCAGTCCTGGGTATGTCTTTATCAGCAGTGTGAAAATGGACTAATACAGGCACACAGAGAGAAAGCAGCCATCTGCAAGCCAGGGAAAGAACCTTCCCAAGAACTGAATTAGCAGTACTTTGATCTTGGACTTTACAGCCTCCAGAACTATAAGAAATAAAGTTCTGCGTGTTGGGCCACACAGCCTATGATATTTTGTTAGGGCATCCCGAGCAGACTAAGACAGTTGCCTAAACAAAACCAAGATGTTGTGGCTTGACTTGTCTCTCTAAGACTTCTATAAATACATACTGAATGCTGAGCCCATAAGTAGTTGATAAGTGCTAAGTGAAATGACTTTTTTCAGCACTTTCAGAAAACTTGGTAGTTTCACGGTTAATTTCTACCAACAGCAGAAAAGCAGAGTAGACACTGAAACCGGACTTCCTTAGAGCCAATCCAGTCTCCAATACATAATATCTGGATAATCATGAGGTTAAGCTTGTTTCCTCATCTGTAGAATGAGAATAAAAATACTATTAACCTCATTGACTTGTGATGATCAAGGAATGAAAAACATACAATGCAATTAGATGAATGTCAGTGAAGACAGTAAGCACATAATAATAGTATTGTTTGTATCATCATCATTGGAAAGGTGTGGCACACATTTTGAGGACTACTTTTACTCCTGGATCCATTTTACTATAGCATAATGTATCTATGTGCAAAAAAAGGGCCACATTTTCAAAACATGTTAGCTTCACTACCCAAGAAGATCAGGGCTGAGAATGTTCAATAGCCTCAGTAAGAAAATCTTTATCACTGCTTTGAATTAACAGGAGAATAAAGACTACCTCTAGATTTATTAAGAGACCCTGTGAGTTTAAACCCAAATGTCTTTTCCCCAATATCTGTTTGTAACTTCATTGACTCTAATAAGAAATATTTATATTCATTTATGGGATGATAATTATATAAAGATGACCTAATGAGTCTAGATTTTAGAAGCAGAGGCTATCTGAGTCATTGCCAACCCCGATAGGGTTCAGGTCAGCATCAGACCTTGTACTTACTACTTATTTTTAAAAAGGAAAAGTGCCTTAAGAAGCAAATAATTATACATTCTTTCTCCACCTATGGTACCACACAAAAAATTTACATTAATTCACACTCTAATAATTGGGAAGTTAGTCCTCATTTGATTTAGCTTGGGCTAAAACTTACTTTTGACTCTCAATAAGAAGAAAAGCTTTGCTAAGTTTTGCTTGGTATAAATGACATTGTATAAAAATATATGTACCTACTAAAAGAATCAACTGTTCTAAGGACTTTAAGTTCCATTAATTGGTTGTAATGCAAAGGACTTTTTATTTTATAACTAGTTATCAAGTAATTAGGGCCCACCATGGTTTTTGCTCAGAAGCACTTATTTATAATTGGTTGCTATAGGTATTTGAAAGCAATAAATTTACTTAAAATGTATTTTATAAATATTATTTAGGCTTACTCACACAAATCCACATCAGTGAAACTGATGTTTAAAGCTCATGCTTTTTATATAATAATAAATTTCAGCAGACATTTATAATATGGAACATTTTATGACATCTCACATTTACATAAAAATTGTGTGAATTATCTAAAAAAACTTTATCATTTACATTATTGTCTGTATTGTTCCTCAAATTTTCTGTTCTTGGCTGATTCTTCAATTTACTTGTGAAAGCAATACTTTAATTAGCAAAAACTGATTGACTTTGAGTCAATGATTATTTATAAATACAGTTCCTACCCTGTCTTAGAAAACAATTTGACCATTATATCTTCATTATAACAAAAAGAAATGTACACATATCCAGCAATATTCCAATAGGGGAATGAAAAATGGAATAAAATTATGGTAAATTAACATTTTGAAATATCATTTAACCATTAAAACAAACTTAAAATGAAGTAACATGAAAAAAATGTTTGATATAAGTGGAAGAGAAGCTGAATAAACAATTATATTTATACTGGAATTAAAGCCACATAAATTATTTCAATCTATTATAGCAGGGAACATTGAAAATGAGCATTTTGGGAATGTTTGTGTGCCAGATTTATTGTGAATTTTTTTTCTTGGATTTGCTTTAATTTATACTTGAGCCAAACAAAAAAAGGAAGGGGAGAGGGAGCAAAGAATGACTGAGATATTTATATTTAAATACAGTTTTTAACATTAGAATCTTTTTATTTTGTGGGGGCCTACTATTTACCAGCAGACCCAATCTTATGGAAGGCAAGACAATCTCTGGATGTGTTCTCCCCATCAGAAGTTGGGATGAATCACAGCTAACATTACCCTGTGTTCACTATGTGTGCACTATATAGAAGGCACTCTTCAAAGCATTCTACATATATTCATTAATTTAATCTTCACAACAACCTTATGAAGTAGATATTTATTATTTGCATATGACAAGTGGTAGAAGCTGGGAAAAAAGGGATTATATAACTTGTCCATGACAACAGTTATTAAGTAGTAGATCTGGGACTTTAACTCAAGCAGTATGTCTATACAACCCTTGCTTAAGACTACTGCACTATGCTGTCTGTCTGTCATTCTTGGTTTGTCTAGACAGACCTCTGTGGGTCTTCAGGGAATTGTGCCTTATTTTCCAAGCCACTTACTTTGCAGCTCCTAGAAGCCATCTTTGTAAAACATGAATCATTCTGGCCAGATTCAATTTGGCTTCTCCCAATCTAGCCCATCTGCTTTTCTTTCCTGAAACTTTGCAATTGAGTCTGAGAGAGGTAAGGCTCTCTTTGAATTGTCAGATTTGTGTGAGTAGATTTGTGGTCTGTTGGCAGTGGTTTTTACTGTTTTGTTTGTTTCCAAGTGAATTGGAGATATATAAAACTGACCTGAAGAAAGTATGAGATGAATGAAGTAGACACACCTATGAGATCAAAGCAAAATCAACCAACCAACCAACCAACTACACTAAAAAACAACAGAAAAAGAGAGCTCTTCCTCACAACATTGAAGGTCCTAAACTCACTTTTGAGGTCGTGTCTTTGGGGGTCATTGAACCACACATATATCCTCAATTTAATCTCCCTATTTTGCTTCAGCTAATTTTCTGTTACTGAGAACCAAAATGAGCCTAATAGTGTTTGATACTCATAAATAGCACAACATTTCAAATAATTTAATCTTATGGGAATACACCAAAATGTATATGCAAAATAGAGGTGAGGAATGTGTTATAAGAAACTAGTAAAATGCTGTTGTGTATGTGTGTACAAATAAAGGAGATAAAGAAGGTAATGAACTCTACGGTCTTTATAAGCTCTAAATGAACTTCTAAGGTAAACTTATGGTTCCTGGATAAAAGACATTGTTTTGTCCAAATCTCTGATTATTTTTGTGACATGTGACCCAAAGTGCACTAAATTCAAGATATTTCTTATAACAAGCTAGACTTCATTCTTACCAATGTTCACAACTTGTTGGAGGTCATGTCAGAGGTGTGTGAACCAGAGTAACTCCATCTTGAATAGGGGCTGAGTAAAATGAGGCAGACACCCAGTGGGCTACATTCCCAGGCAGTTAGGCATTCTAAGTCACAGGATGAGATATGAAGTCGGCACAAAATATAGGTCATAAAGACCTTGCTGATAAGGCACAAAATATAGGTCATAAAGACCTTGCTGATAAAACAGGTTGCAGTAAAGAAGCTGGCTAAAACCCACCAAAACCAAGATGACCATGAGAGTGACCTCTCGTCAGTCTCACTGCTACACTCCCACCAGTACCATGACAGTTCAGTACCATGACAGTTTGCAAATGCCATGGAAACATCAGGAAGTTACCTTATGTGGTCTGAAAGGGGGAAGCATGAATAATCCACTCCTTGTTTAGACAACATCAAGAAATAACCATAAAAATGGGCAACCAGCAGCCCTTGGGGCTTCTCTGTCTATAAAGTAGCCATTCTTTTTATTTTTTATTTTTTTTGAGACAGAGTTTCACTTCTGTTGCCCAGGCTGAAGTGCAATGGCTCAATCTCAGCTCACCGCAACCTCCGCCTCCCGGGTTCAAGAGATTCTCCTGCCTTAGCCTCCCGAGTAGCTGGGATTATAGGCATGCACCACCACGCCGGTAAAGTAGCCATTCTTTTATTCCTCTACTTTCTTAATAAACTTGCTTTCAGTTTACTCTATGGACTCGCCCTAAATTCTTTCCTGTGCAAGATCCAAGAACCCACTCTTGGGGTCTGGATGGGGACCCCTTTCCTGTAACAGTCATATGGAATATCACATGCTAAAGACTTGGTGATTCTGGTGGTTTATACATCTCTTATTTTACATTTTTCAAGAGCGCTCATTTTATTGATTAAAGTTCTGATCTCAAAGCAATAATTATAATATTATCACTGTGATCACAGAAGCACATACTACATTGCCCCAAGGGCTTCTCAAATGCTGCTTACAAAAATACTCAAAAATAAAAATATGGATTCATTACTATTTAACTATAAAATAGCAAGCATGAAATCTGCAACACAAAAGTTATTTAATGCAGTCAGAGTAAATTTGACATTAGCTTGGAAGGTGCAGGGCAGGCAAATAAAATCTCCCAAGCTTGGAAAACACTATTACCAGTTAGCAGAATCACTGAACTTTACAACTTGGGAGTTCCCTGACAACCAATTACTCAGATACAGACATACAATCCTCTTCTATAGAATTCTGAACAGATGGTCTTGTTTTTCCCATGGCTGTCCCTGTTCCACAGCTGGGCAGCTCATAGGTTAAAAATTCATTTTTGAGTTTTTATCTGTTTCTCACATACTTCCTCATATTCATCCTAAATGAATTCTGCTTTAAAAGAGAACAAAATGTTTCCTATTCAAGAAGCGTTACTATTTGGGAAGCCTTTTATATAAAAATCCTCCATTTCTTTGACATGACTTTGTCATTTTTAATAGGTGCTATGATGGTTAATATTAAGTGTCAACTTGATTGGATTGAAGCACGGAAAGTATTGTTTCTGGATGTATCTGGGTGTTTCTGGGCGTTGCTGGAAGAGATTAACATTTGAGCCAGTGGACGGGGAGAAGCAGACCCACCCTCAATGTGGGTGGGCACCATAAAATCAGCTGCCAGCGCAGCTAGAAAAACAGGAAGAAGCTAACTTGCTTAGTTTTCCCAACTTCATCTTTCTTCCATGCTGGATGCTTCCTGCCCTTGAACATCAGACTCTAAATTCTTCAGCTTTTGAACTTTTGGACTTACATCATTGGTTTACCAGGCAGGGACCTTCAGCCTTTGGCTACAGACTGAAGGCTGCACTGTCAGCTTCCCTACTTTTGAGGTTTAGGGACTCGGACTGAGCCACTACTGGCTTCCTTGCTCCTCAGCTTGCATATGGCCTATCGTGGGACTTCACCTTGTGATCATGTAAGTCAATTCTCCTTAATAAAATCCCTTTCATATATACATATATCCTATTAGTTCTGTCCCTCTAGAGAACCCTGACTAATACAGGTGTGTTCCAGGAAAGACTGCTAACAGTACACTGGGAAAGGTGGATGACAGAACCAGCTGACCCAGCTTTGGATAACCTTGGCCATTTTACATGGTTCACGTGAGAAGTATATACAAGGAATATATAATGCTCAGCATAGTATGTCATCCATAGTAGATAGTAAATAAATGCAAATGAGTTATTTTTAATTCACTCTCCCACATCTCACTGTTGGAGTCAAATTACTTAGTCCATGCCCTATATTTTGTATTTTGGGGGAGAAAAAATATATTATGTATTTTTTCATCTCATTTTGCAAAGTGGAGAACTCTCAGTAGAGAATGATCATCCAGCTGTCTTTGAGAGCAAGAAGAAAATCCTGTTTATCATACTTTTATTGCTTAATCCTTGTTGAAAAGTTTCCCAGTGGAAGGTTCTGTTTGTTTTTCTGCAGTGGGAAAAAGTTTAACAAACTCAATGACACAGTCATGTGCTCATGGTCACACACACCATCTCCAGGGGTCTAATCTGAGGATTTGGTGGAAGCTTCTGCCTGTGGTCAGCAAACTGTGGAAGCTCTTCCAAGGATGCTCTTTACTGGACAACGCAGGAGGAATGTAGAATCACAAACTGACTTCACCGCCAGTGAAGCAAACTTTGGGTGCAACATTCAAGAGTGGGACTGGCCTTCTGGGTCTTGATTTTAGCCAAATACTTCTTCTCTAGATGTCTCCTTTTCTAAATGAGCCAAAAACTTCTAGGGCTGCTGTCACCAGATGATTACTAGCACATAATCTTAGATGGTCCTGGAAATATTTGATAACATTCATCAGCACATATATTTTATTAGGCACTCTGGGAGATAACAGAGATGGGAGAAAGTTAAGTAAGTGTTGGCTTTGGAGATGGTAAAAAATTTGGGATGTTGCTGTAGAAGATATATGTGACTCTTTTGGTAGGTGAATGCCGTGGATGCAAGATTGTGTGTATTTGTGTGAATGTGTGTATGTATGCGTGCGTGCATGTACCATGCATGTAGGATGGCATAAATTGCCAGCAAGCATATCTTGATGTGGGAGGTAAAGTACAATGAGGGTATTTATGAAAAAGAGGGAGGCAACAAAAGCTGCTCCTTGTGTCTTTCTCCTCCGTGAGAAAGCTGAGTTGTGTCTTTCTCCTCCGTGCTGCTACCAGCCTCAGACCCTCATTACTACCATCCTCCACCCTATTCCTCCTCCTTCCAAGATACTCTATATCCATCTTCCTGTGATTAAGGTAGGATTTAAAAAAACTTGTAAGAGCTGCAACTGTATTTTATGTTCATCTTAAGGGAGAAGGTATGTCTTTTCACATAGAAGGACTTCACCATGACACAATGAAACATTAAAAAAGATATCACTGAAGCTGTTTGTCTTAGCTTCTGCATTGGGTGGCTTCTACTTGCCACCCAAATAATGCATCTATATCCTGTCTGTACAGTAAACCTTCCAATAAGCCCACCTTAAATGTTTGGGGACATACCAAGACTCTGCTGGCCTCAAGAAAGAAACATTTGGTTGGTCGTGGAGGCTCATATCTGTAATTCCAACACTTTGGGAGGCTGAGGAGGGCAGATCAACTGAGGTCAGGAGTTTGAGACCAGCCTGGCCAACATGGTGAAACCCTGTCTCTACTAAAAATACAAAAATTAGCTGGGCTTGGTGGCGCACGCCTGTAGTCCCAGCTACTTGGGACGCTGAGGCATGAGACCTGCATGAACTCAGGAGACACAGGTTGCAGTGAGCCAAGATTGTGCCACTGCACTCCAGCCTGGATGACAGAGTGAGACTTTGTCTCAAAAAAGATGAGAGAAACATTTGATAAAACAAAAAATAATAATTACAGGGGTAACAAAATAATAATTTAGGTACAAATAGAGATTGTGGCACCTTTACAGCACCCTTTTTGGTTTTCTAGAGAGTTTGTTTTTCACTTTACATTTTGGTCATCATCCTTCCCCTTGCCCATAGCTTAACAAAAGGTGCCAATAAATCCCACCCAAAATGGAGACCTGAGTCTGAGGCTGGAGGAGGTGACTGAAGGTGGAAAATGACTGATTAGAATTTTTATTGGTGTTGTATCACAACTCACACCCCAGGATGGAAGGAACTGAGTCTTAGAGGAATCACAGCAGTCTGGCCTTTCATCTTTTTATATGGGAGATCAGGGAGAATAGCAATGGTGAGCAGGGTCATAGCAGGCTGAGCTGGCTGGTAATGCTGCTTTTACTAAGAAGTCCTTTCTAGTGAAACTGCCTGGATTCCACAGATGGGGAAAGGTGGTTAGATAGATGTAATGCTTCTATTCAAAACACCACGTTCTAGAATGTGGTGATCTGAGTTAAATCTTGAAGACATAGATCTCTTGGGATAATGCATTTGATAATGATTCTGCCCAATACATGACATAGGTCAGCGGTCCCTCATTAATGCAAACCTCTGGAGACATCATGGATATCATGAATTTCTAGTTATTGGAAACTCAGAACCTTTTTATTAAGATTTATAAGGTTTTTAATTGCATTCTGTTTGGATCAGAAAATAATATGCCAAAGTGAAAGCCTCAGAAGCAAAAGTTTCTCTCTGACCTTCTCCTGTCCTCTTATCTCTTGCTTCTCACTTTTCCCCAAGGCTAGCCATAGCAACTAGAATCCCTCTTCTCCAAGCCAGATTATAGAAACCAGAACCTGTTTTCCCCAAAGCCAGCCATAAAACCTAAAAATATGACTCTAACTTTCCTTTACCTTTCTGTGTAAGAGCTGGCTGTAAAAAAATTATCTGACCTACCTAGTTTGATTGTAGGTCATAAGACCTCCTTTTGGAGAGGGTCCAGCCCCACATCCAGAAGGAAGGAAAGCTGTACTTCCTTTCTTCTTGGAAGGCCAAGAAGAATCTAAGCAGACAGGCCTTGCTGGATTTTCCCACTCCATCTATTAGCATTAGCTCATACCCTTTTTGTTCAATCACAGTTCTACACAACGGTCCATAGTTTATTAAACCTAAGCATAACAATGGAAAGTTTTCTCTGTATTTGTTGGTCTTCATTCTGAAGTCTCCTGTGTGACATAAAACTATCATTAAATAAATTTTCATACCTTTTCTCCTATTAATCTGCCTTTTTTCAGTTGGTTTTTCACTGAAACTGCAGAGGGCAAAAGGGAGGTATTGCCTTTGCTCCCTACAATCCCTTTCCTGAATAAGCTGAATATAGATTCCCCCACTCCTATAATCTATGATTATTCCTATGAATATGAAACATAAGACCTTGAGCAAGTTTTGTTTGCTCTTTACAGTTCAATATTTTTCCCATTTTGGACATTATAAGGGGCTAGATGGTATACATAATGATCAACATCCCACTCAGATCCAAAATTCCATTGTTCTCACATTCCTGCAATTCCAGGTAAATCCCATACTTCTCCCTGCACCTCAATACAGGAACTCGATTTCCCTTTCTTCCTCAAAAAATGCAGTGAGCTGGCCGGGTGCAGTGGCTCACGCCTGTAATCCCTGCCCTTTGGGAGGCCGAGGTGGGCGGATGACCTGAGGTCAGGAGTTTGAGACCAGCCTGACTAACATGGTGAAACCCCATTTCTACTAAAAATACAAAAAATTAGCTGGGCGTGGTAGCATGTGCCTGTAATCCCAGCTACTCAGGAGGCTGAGGCAGGAGAATCCCTTGAACCTGGGAGGCAGAGGCTGCAGTGAGCCGGGATCGCACCATTGCACTCCACCCTGGGCAACAAGAGCGAAATTCCGTCTCAAGAAAAAAAAAAAAAATGCAGTGAGCCTCTTATTGTATATAATCTCTCAAAAGCCCAAAGGCAATACTGCCACTTTGGAAGGTTTTCCTCCCAGAAAGCTATTTAATTTGATGGTTATTATTTGTTTATCAAAGCCCCACTGTTTATTCAGATTAATTAAAAACTATTGTTCCAGCTGCAGCAAGGTAGTGCTCCTTGTAATGAAAATATCTGCAATCCCGAATTCATCAACCTACATCTGATCCCATTCAAAAGTCTTTAACCTTACTCCACAAGGCAATTTAACTCAAACTGCCTCAGACCTATGTCAGTGGATGGGAAGATTGAATCCTTAAGCAGGGACCTTTTATTGTTGAAATCTCATGGCATAAGCTGTTAGGGATTGCTCCCAAAATTGCAATTTTAGAGTTGGCCTAAATTAGACAACAGGAAGTGAAACTGAGCTGCTAAATCTTAAACTCATTTAAAACATCATCTCCTGGCAAATGATGTTTTAAAAAGTGTTTTGCTCTTTTGATTATCAAGAGTGCTTATGTGTTATGGATTAGCAGATGCCATCATTTCCCAATAAATAAAGATAGTTAATAAGACATAAATAGCTATTTGATAACATAAGCCTAATTTATTTTAGTTTGTAAATTCTGCTGAGACCAAGTACTGTTACCTGCAGTCAAGTTTTTCTTATCCAGAATAATCTCCATATAATTGAAAATCCTCACACTTAACAGCTTTACTGATTCACATCTAAAACATTAAAAATTGGTTTCCAGCATATACAGACCGGCTGAGAAGTGAGGAAGGAAGTTATTTTCCATCTATATATTAAACTGGAAATGTATCTTAAAGTCTGTAAAGCAGTTCACTGTTGCACAGATTAACTCAAAATACTCCAAACAAAACCATTTGCCTCAACATTTCCAGATACTCACAAAATTCCACCTTTGAATGCAAGAGAAGCACGAAATATTTTGCTAATTCTCCATTTTTACTGCTATTGACAAGAGTGAATCTTGTCCTTAACTGAATCCACAGTGTTATTTGGAAGACATTTATTATTCAAAGCTAGGCAAGTGTCCTAAGGTAGTTTAAAAAAAAATTTTTTTTTAAATTTTTCCCCAGCTTGCCTGACTAGCTATCTTAACTTAGTATTTACTTGCAATCTCTTCCTTTGGCCTCCAGAATAAATGCACGAATGGCTCTTCTGCCAAAAATGGCTCCGAGACTAAAATAACTAAACTGTGTCTGTGTTTGGGTCATTGCTCAGGCAAAAATATTTAAAGCAAGACCCCGACTGCGCTGCAGAGACACTGGCAAACAGAAATTGCCCACATAACCCATTGGTTGTTGAATTCCTTGCCTTCTTCAAGTCTATTCTTTCTTCCAAATGCCATGTTTAAAATTGTTATATTGTCCCCTGTCTCCTCTTGCTCACCACAATCTTTGCCTCTGATTTTTCCTTTTAAGGGCTTACCTCTGTTCTATTTACGGAATTCAATAGGAAACTAATCTGCAAAAACACCAACTTTGGTAAGAAACATACATTTTGAACAAACTGTTAAAATGGGCCCCAGCATGCTCTGATTATTGTATTTTCTTCTAAGAGACCCTCTGATTGACCATCTCTATCCTTCCATAAATATAGATTCATTCTGGGGGCTCTGACCTTCCCCCCAGTGATTCTTTTGAGGCTGCTTTGTTGCAGCAGCCTCTTTTATGCCTTTCAGTAATAAGTAATAAACAAGCAGCAATTGTCACGCTGCTCTCCCAGAATAGGGGCAGGCCTTCCTGCCCTACATACATACATTCTCATTATATGTGGGGAGTTCATTATGGGGGCTGCTGCAACAAGGAAAAGGAAGATGAGGCGAGGGCCCCTTGCAAAGCTGCACTTTAAAATAGAAAAGGGAAATGAATTGCTTTTATTTTAAGAGGCTTCCTTTTAACTCTGGCTGCTATTTATCTGTCAGGGATCATCCCACCTCACAGCAGGGGAGACCAGTAACAAGTATTTGACCAGTTCAAGAGGCAACTATTTCACACAAGGCGGCTTCTTCCAAGAAGACCATTAAAGCGCATCAATCCTGACAGTTGCACAGACACCCTGAGGGCTGTGCTGCAGAAACCAAAACTTCAATATATCTGTTGGCTTTCCAGGGGCCTGTGCAGCTGCCTGTTTAACTGAGATGAGATAGGAGTTTCACATAATGATGGGGGGCCAGGGAGAGGGGAAGAATAGCAAAGGAGGACTTGGACAGCAACCTAAACCCTAATGTGATTTGTTGATGCTCTGGAAGTCCTAATCTGAGAAAATGCATACATCTCGGTCTAAAATGGCCCACCCACAGTCTGTGGCACCACCACTTCAGCACTTAACAGGAATTAACCAATATGTTTGCAGAGAGTTAGAATGGGTTCTGGTTACCAGAATACAACTCCACCTGCAGTTGCCTTACAGAGTATGGTTTTTGAGAAGTCATGCGGTGTATCATCACGCTGGGGATCTGAGTGGGAAGAAGTAATGCTCACATGATAAAAAAAGAAACCTACTAACATTAATCACAGTTTCTAGACCATCTTTAGGATACTCTAGTATTTAGGATACTCTTCCTTTCCAAGCCCAAACTATGTATAATCTGCCTAGTCTTTGTGAGATTTCCTGAAACTGGGGAAGAGAACAACCATCTGCTTTGTCCCAAACACTTTCTGGTATCAGCATGGGAGTTTTGGCTAACAGGGAAGGCTTGTTATTGCTGATACAAACTGAGAAAGAGTACAGTGCTCAGACTTCCTCTAGGAATGGTAGATGAAATCCCCCAAAGATAATGGGGCATAATGGGCTTCTAAGCCCCCGTGAGTAGCATGAGGTCCCGCATACTGCTAATTTAGAAGCTTCTCAGCCAGCTAATGAATGGCAACAGATCCTAAGTGATAAGCCCTGAAGATGCTAAAAACATTTACTAATACTCATTATTTTTATTATAATAATTATATCAACAACGATTTTATTTCATGTGTGCATAGGTCTAATTATTGTGCATGCATTGCCTTATTTAATCTTTTCACAACCCTATGAAATAATAATTTTATTTGCTCCACTTCATAGATAAGGACTGATGTCAAAAAGATATGGAATGGTTGGTCTATAGTCATACCGAACAGTATGGCTTTCGGTTATAAATTGCATTGCCATACTGACTTAACTATGAATCCTGATTCTCTTGCTTATAAACTGTGTGACCTTCCTTAAGTAATTTAACTTATCTGAACCTTATATTGACGTTACATCTAATAGTAAGATTATTGTACAGACTAAAATAAAATAATAGCTTTAATATGAGCATATAGCAAAAGGTATGACATAGAGGAAACATTTAATAAATTCCACAAACAATTGAGCAGGTGTCATTATTCTCAATTTAAAAAGTGACTACTCAGATCCAAAGAATCTAATAGATTTATCTAAGGCTATATAGCTAGAAGATCAAAGAACTGAACTAGACACCCAAATTTCCAGGTAGGTAGGTGTTCTTTCTACATTATCACAAGTTTACTCTGCTTTGGGGAACATCAATTCACATGTTGTCAGTGGAACACTTCACCTATAAAAAGGTGATAAAGAGAATTCACCTTTCTTAATTCTTTATATTTTTGTTGAATCAAGAGTGCTTAGGGTATTTTTCATTGCTGGAAAAATAAAAGTGAAGTGCTTTGGCTTCATAAGAGTTAAAGGCAGCAGCCTTAAATTTCACGGAGAGTAACTTTGGAAAGTCCTTTGGCAGGGAGATATGAAGAAAGACCTCTTCAAAGTTTTTGGCTCTCTATTGTCAGGGGTAACAAGATACTTAGTTCTGGACTTTCACTACTGCTTCCTTCTCTTAAAAGAGGCCAGGGTAGAGCAGGCCATACTACAAGAAGAAAATCTTAATCACCTTCCCTCAAAATAGTTATCTGACAAATCTGCCCATACTCATTTATTTTCCTAGTTCTAAGAAATGTAGTGAAGATAGTCATTCAGTCCTAGGGAAATAAAATAGGACAACAGTCCTTACAAAAATTTAAAAAAAAATTCACACAAAAAATATATGTTCTTTCTTCCACTCTTTTTTCCACATTTGACTGAGTAGCATCTGGGTTGAAAAGGTTGTGGTGGTGAATATTTTATCAGATTTTTGACAAGACATCCATCTCATTGTAGAATGAGGCTAGATCTTAAATCACCTTAGACAGTTTTGCTTCTTAATTAGACAGTCGATACACAACCAATTGGGAGAGCTGGGATCTATTAGGCTTCTATGATTCTGAGATGGCTGAGATCATCAACAAGTTGAGTCTGGTCCAATTAATTCTCTTGATAGTTTACTGTCTCTTCAGTTATGCTAGAAAATTGGGTACTGACACAGCACATTGTATTAATTTTAAGTGAAGCTCTAGCAAGGAAGAGTTGAAACAACGCTGTTTGCAGTCTGAACCAAGAATTCTGTTTAAAATGGTATTGCACTGGTATATGCAAACATTCTAAGGTCAAAATAATCCATTTCCTCATTAGTACTCAAGGTTTCTACTGCCATTCTACTTCCTCAAGTTTTAGTTCTGTCAGAATGGTTATCAGTCACCAAATTCTTGGCTGTGCCTCAGAGTCCTAATTAAATTTGAGGTTTTTGTCTTGAAACCAATGGAGAATCGTTAACTACTGATTATATGTTAGTTGATACAAAACAGCTAGTTTTGTAATGGCTTGCAATTAAGAATTCAATATCCTATCTTCTTCAGGCAGCAGATTGGTTGGAACAAGACATATACTGTCCTGAAATATTTGGGTCAATGAATATATGACATAACCTATTCTATTTTCCAGAAAAAGTGACATCCACCCACCTTTTTTTAAAGATTGGGAGGAGGAGGTGGAAATAGGAGGCATTTGAGAGAAAAATGCATTCAAACTTAGATCTCAGAATCTTAAATGACTCAGTAAAGTAAAATCTAGCCAAGGGTGGACATATATTAAGTCATTTGAGGGTAAAATGAGATATCTTTTATAAATATACTAAAAGAAGAAAATGACCAAGTACTATATCATTGCTCTGGTTAGACATGACAGTTTGGGAAAGAAAATGCTTTTATATCTATTCCATTTGATATTCTCACAAAATTACATTAAAAAATAGAAGATATAAGCACATAAGGAAAAACATCATGAGAATGGAGACTGTACTGATAATTGTTATCAGCAGAGTTTTGAAAAATGTGAAGAAGCAATTCATTTTGAAGACTAGACCATGCCTACAGAGGGTGATCATTATGAAAATGGGAGAAATGAACTGTTTTGTCCCATAGAGTCCTGAAAAGACTGAATTCTTAGAGGTACCAAGAGTCACAGAAATGAGAGTTAGGTGTAAGACTGAAACAGGTGGATTGGCTTAAAGTTCATTCCCCAGATCCTCATTCTCATGCCTCTTAGCCAGATTATTATTACTTTTATAATCTCTCAGAAGACAGGATATTCATTCTTTTCTGGAGAAACTGAACAAAGCAGAGGACAGAGTGTGTGTTTGTGTGGACCAAAGTCATGGGTGTAAAACCTGTGCAATTATACAGAATACCACGCTTAAAAGAACCTCATACTTGTTTAATACTCTGATGTCAAAATTGAAATTCTTAATAATTTTGAAGAAGTCCCATATTTTTAGTTTGCACTGGGCCCTATAAATTATGTAGCTGGTCCTGGTGTTTGTGGTAGGTAAATTGTATTTAGGTACAAGAGAGAAAATATGAGCATTAGGAAAGTATGCGAAGTGAATCATAAGTCACCCAATCTTCTTACCCTGCCCTGTTCCCAGAGTAAGGTTGGTGAGATGTATTACCCACCCATCCAACCAAAGCACAAGAAACACCCAGGGAATGGACTTTGAGGATTTTTTTAAGGGAAATAGAATAACCCTAAAGAAAACAGATATTAGCATTTGAAGAGTTTATAATAAGAATCAGAATTGTTATCCAATCTACTATAAAGGCCTCAAGTCAGAAAGAACTTCCATTGCATCTAGAGATTCTATCAGAGATTTAATGTCTTACTCTACAATTCAAATAAATAACCAAGGATTATCAGATACTTGATGAGAACCTCAATATGTAAGATGGAGTCCAAAGGAAAGAGACTTCAGAAAAATGGATTCCACACAGGGAGAAGAATACAATTTAAAAAAAAGTCTATTGTTAATTTTTTTAGAGAACTAAGGCAAGATTTAATAGCCATGATATGGTTTGGATCTGTGTCTGCATCCAAATCTCATGTTCAATTGTAATCCCCAGTGTTGGAGATGGGGCCTGGTGGGAGGTAACTGGATCATGGGGGTGGATTTCTCATGAATGATTTAGCACCATCCTCTTGGTGCTGTTCTTGCTATAGTGAGTGAGTTCTCATAAGATGTGATCATTTAAAAATGCATAGCACCTCTCCCCTCTTGCTTCTGCTCCCACCATATAAGACACCTCACTTCCCCTTTGCCTTCCACCATGATTGGAAGTTTCCTGAGGCCTCCCCAGAAGCAGAAGTCACTATGCTTTCTGTACAGCCTGCAGAACCATAAGCCAATTAAACCTCTTTTATTTTTTATTTATTTATTTATTTTTCAGATGGAGTCTCACTCTGTCACCAGGCTGGAGTGCAGTGGCACGATCTCAGCTCACTGCAACCTCCACCTCCCAGGTTCAAGTGATTCTCCTGCCTCAGCCTCCCAAGTCACCATGCCCGGCTAGGCTAGTTTTTATATTTGTAGTAGAGATGGGGTTTCACCATGTTGACCAGGATGGTCTCAATCTCTTGACCTCGTGATCCACCCGCTTCGGCCTCCCAAAGTGCTGGGATTACAGGCGTGTGCCACAGTGCCCGGCCAAACCTCTTTTATTTATAAATTACCCAGTCTCAGGTATTTCTTCTATAGCAATGTGAGAACAGACTAATACAAGCCATGAAATAAAAACAGGATGCTATAAATGACATAAGATTTAAGGGAGATAAGAAAACAAAAAGCAAAAATGAGCTCTTAGAAATTACAAATATGATAGCAAAGAAAATAAGAACAAAAACAATACAACAACAAAGAGATTAGATGATAGAGTCAAGGAAATTCCCCAGAAAGAGAGAGCACAGATAAAATGAAGCATAGGGGATTTTCAAATAAATCAGAAGAAACAATTCCCAGGACAGCAGGATATGTATTCTCAAGATTGAAAGAGGCCATTGAGAGAGAGAAAACATCCACACCAGGACATCTTATCAGGCCCCACTGCAACAGCAAAAGCAGAATGGAGTTTACAAAGGACCAAGAGGAAGAATGGCATTACCTGTTCTAGCCATGGCACATGCCTGGAGGCTGGAGACTTATACCTTCAAAATGTTGACAAAAAATAATTTTCAAACTTTAATTTTGTATCTAACCATTACTATTGGTTTCATGTATAATTGATACATTTGTATAAATAAAAGGACTTTAAAAATGTGCTTCTAGGCACCCTTTCTTGATAAGCTACTAGCAAGTGCACTCAGCAACATAAAGAAAAAAATAATGAGATTTAGGATCCAAGAAACAGGAAATCCCATCCAGATGAGAGGTGCCAGGTCCACTGCTGTGCAGTAGACAGCAAACAGTTTACATTAAAGCAGGAAGTTGAAGGACTACAAGAGGGATGCCTTCAAAGGAAAAAGAATTAGAATCCTATATTGTGTTTGAAAATATTTGAGCATTTGGACAAAATTTATAGACATTTGACAAATCTTTTAGGGGAAAAAACAAATTTAGGGGAAAAACAAATAATGAAAAAGCTTGGTGACAAAAAATAAAAAGTTTAGAGGGAAAAAGCCATTATTACACAAAGGAAAAAGAAAAAGAAATATAAGAATACAAATGTAATTGCATACATTCTAGATTTGTAGTACCACATGCAAATAGTTAGAATAATGCCAAACTTAATTGGTTCAGTTTCTCTCAAGAGTGATACAACTGTGTTGGAAAGATTTCAGCCATGGAATAGCCTATACAATTGCACAAATTGTATAGGGTATGTATGGTACAGAGCTAAAAATTCTTAACTATTTTAACAAGAAAGAAATATTATAAAATTGGGAAAAAAACACAGTAAAATGCAATGTATTAAGATGGAAGATTATAGAAGAATAAACAGTTAAAAGTGATAATTTTTTACCAGAGATAGATAAATGACACTGATTAAAAATAAAAATTAATTTTAAACAAGCTAAATGGTAAAATTAAAAAAAAAACATAAAACAGTTTTTTCCTTCACTGAGGGAGTTCCTTTAATGTTAACAAAGAAACAGTTGGCTGCAGAATAAGATTTCATTTTAGGTTTTAAAAAAATTGATGCTCTTTGTCTTATTGTTATCACTTTTTTGTCTGTTGGATGGTGTTCAAATGGCCCTAGAATAAGATGTGACATCTGTATTCATGATAAGATTCAGATATATGACTACAATGTTCTGTTCCTCCCACAGTTGACCCCATCATCATGAAGAGAATGAAACACAGAATGAAAGCTCTTCTCTGCATTCTTTACCCTTTCATTGTCCTCTTGGTTAATGGTTGCTTTGTTCCTGTGGGAGTGAAATAAAGACTCCCAGAATGCTGAGAATATTCAAAGACTTTCTCAGGAAGGGTCAACTCATGAAAGGAGTTGCTGCAATGTGAAAATTGAACACATTAATTCTGATAGGTAAACTTCAAAAAGAAAAATATTTGTGTTTCCAAAAGCCCTTCAGGTCCATATTTATAGCATTGCGTGTTACAGTAAAAGACTAAGGAAAATAACTGATTAAGATATGCTATATCCACACAGTGCTATACTTTGTAACACTGAAAATAATTAGAAATAGGTATACTTGCATGGAACGATGTCCAACACCTATTGTTAATCTAAAATCCCCAAACAAAACAAACCCAACAAGTTGCAGAACAATACGTATGTTATGCTCAATTCCTGCATGAACTTATTCTGAAACTATAATTTTGGTTTTAGACGTAGATTCTGAGACCAGAATCTTGGGATAGGGACTAAATTTTTAAATCATTTGTACTATTATATTATTTTCAATTTTTATAATGCATGGATAATAATTTTTTGAAAGTCAGTTACATATAACTAATACATTATATTAGTTCAAGCGATCAGCACTATTTTAGTTTGGGAACATTCACTCTAACTTCAATCCAGGAATTTGAAATAGCAACATTTGCCTCTAAGTAACTAAACATGGTAAATGCAAAGAACATGGGATTTGAGTCAGGAGTTCAAATCCCATTTGCCTGTGTAAAAGTTGGGTATATTCATTCCTCTTTTTAAATTTTAGTCTCAGTTATGTAATCTATAAAATGGGAATAATGAAGATCTTTTCTCCTCCCTCAAAGTGTAGTGTGATGAACAAATAAGATCAGGTAGCAGAAAAGACCTTGTGCACTGAGAAGTACCATAGAATGGTTTATTATTTTGTAGAAAACTGGCTTTACCAACTTAATGTACTTCATATTTAGCATTAATATTAACAATAACTAAAAAAATTACTAACATCTTTGACCACTTATTATTTCACATGCTTTTCTAAGAGCTTTGCAAGTACGAACTCATTTTTCACAACAACAAATGTCTAAGTGTGTACTAGTGTTGTTCCTTTCATAGATGAAGATGCCCAGGTACAGAGAGGTTAAGTAACTCATCTAACATCACCCAGTTACAGTACTAGGTGATGGTGCTGGGACCCATTGCCACACAGTCTGCTAGGCTCTCTGCCAGTTGATAGGAGAGAGTCTCTAAATGCTCCTTTCAACTACTCTAAGAGTAGCTGAAAAATGGATGGAAACTTTCTGACAGACTGATGGGGACTTTCTGTGCTTTGTAGTGGCAGAAAGTTTTCTTTTGTTTTTTAAATTGTTAACTCAGGTTTTGCCTTTAATTTTTGTAAGTTTTCCAAAGTTTCTATTTTATTTTATTTTATTTTTATTTTATTTTATTATTATTATACTTTAAGTTTTAGGGTACATGTGCACAATGTGCAGGTTAGTTACATATGTATACATGTGCCATGCTGGTGTGCTGCACCCATTAACTCGTCATTTAGCATTAGATATATCTCCTAATGCTATCCCTCCCCCCTCCCCCCATCCCACAACAGTCCCTAGAGTGTGGTGTTCCCCTTCCTGTGTCCATGTGTTCTCAAAGTTTCTATTTTAATTCCTCTTTAAAATCATGCCTCCCCATGGCCACCAATGCACCTTAGAAGCCCTAGGAAGTAAATCACAAAATTACAAACGTCTAAGAAGAAAGTAGCTGAGTCTGAAGCTGCCAAGGTCTATTTTCATTCTGCGTCAGCTCCAGCAAATGCCTTTAGAATTGACTCACGCAAATTAACCTGAATCACAGAATCTCAACATTTCAGAGCTGGAAGGGACCAGTGTTCTTTCACAACTAGTCAATCAAGTGAAAAAGGTAATCTGCATCAAGAAAGAGCATAAAATTAGAAATGGAATTTTTAAAAAGCAGGTGAGATTCCCTAATACGAGTTTTGAGCTTGAGCATGGAGCCTTCAGGATGGTGAGGTGTTGGAGGGTACAACTATGGGAACGGGGCAACTTTCCTTCTTTCCTCCTCTATCTGCTTTTTGATTTGGCTCTGTGGCCTTGGAGTAATCATTTATTTTCTCTGAGATAGACTGTTCAAATCTGTAAAGTGAAATGAATGTAATAGATGACCTTTAAAACTCTTTGTCTTTCTATTATTTCCAATTAGTTTGTGTGTGTGTGTGCATGGGTTTGGGGGATGGTTAGAAATGGAAACGGAAACGGAAGAAGCTTTAGTTAGTTGGGAAGAAATGCTTTTATAATCTCTTCAGCCTGAAGTAGACTCACAAAAAAAGATGCTTCCTTATGTACTACCCAGTTCAAAAACAAAGAGGGGTGCAAGCTCACAGCTCATTCTTGAAATGATTCTATTCCTGAACTTCCCTGCCTACGTTTGTATGACATTTCATGTTTTTGCCACTTATAGGCATATGCACTTTAAAATGATATTCTGAGATGCTTCAGTGACTTCTAGTAGAAAAATGCAAATAAATGTAAATTTCTGTTATTATCAGCTTCATCAAAGCAAACAGGCAAAAGCAAGAACAATATTAGAGTTTGGTAAGAGTGTATATTTGAATGATTTCCCCAGAGGACTAGGGAAAATCTCATCTTGTTTGGTTTCCTATTGTAGAGGAGCATCAATTGTCTCTGGTGGAATTACCTGCATACACCACTTGTCAGTCCCACATTAACCCCCCCACTCTCACTTTTTTTCCCATAGACAAGCTACTCTTTTTATTTCTCAAATGTAATTTCAATAAATGATCGACTTGAATCAAGAGATTCAGGCATAAACAGGTGAGAGCAGGCATGAATAACACAATCGAGGACTGGGAGAATAATAGTTTCAGAAGATAGCATTTATATCATAGAAAAAAATAAAGGAGAACTCAGATTGCTAGTTCTCCAATTAGAATCAAATGAAAATAAGGAATCTTGGCACCTTCTACGGGATTTCCAGGCTGTACTACATCAGCTACCTTTGAATATAGTTTGGTATATTTTCTGACACTTTCATATATTTTCTGACAGATTTATTTTTATGTAAATCTAAATTTCTTTGAGGGTAGTGCCTTTGTATTTAATTCAGTATACTCAGAAGACCAGTACATTCCTGTGCAAAAGAAAAAAAAATTCTCTTAATAAACTAATGGTGATTGAGTGAGTGCTTATCTACAACACAATCAAAATTAGAAAGTCATTTGATAGCAGGCCAGTATATGTGACCAGTCTTGTTCTAAAGATATAATTATCTAGAAAAACACATCCTTTACTTTGCCGAAATGCAAAAAATCAATTAGATGAGAAAGCATGACTTCAAAAATGCATAAAAGACCACAAGATTCTTAAGTGCCTATTACTATAGAACAAAATGCCTAAAATAGAATAAAATCTTGGATTGAATTTCAAAATGCAATAGAATTTAGGAGCAATTGCATAACCAGATAGGAAGTTTTAGCATGAGTTTTCTAATTCTTCCTGTCAACAACCTTTGGAAGTTTTGAAATAGTGTCATTCTAATGCTGATTTGCATTAGTAATGGATTAGACTCCTCAAACCATTATAAAAAGATCACTGGACAGAAATGAAGAGCCTAGAATTATGACTTCAGTCTTGTAATACACTAACTTCTAAGTTAAATCTCATAGGTTCCTAGCACCAAAAGGAAAAGATCTGGGGGCTGAGTTTATTCCCTAGGGCAGTAGTTCTTGAGCTTAGAGGGTTTGTTAAAACTAGTTTATGGGCTCCACTTTCAGAGTTCCTGATTCAGTAGGTCAGGTCGGGGGCAGAGGTGAGATTTTGAATTTGTAATAGGTTCCCAGGTGATGCTAATGCTGCTGACATGAGAATCTCACTTTGAGAACCAGCACCTTAGGGCAAAAGACCAAATGGGAACCTGCTAGCCTACAAATTCTTCCACTGACTACCTCTCTTATTCTGTTGAATTTACACATTTCTCATGGGCTTGCCCAGTTTGCACAGCTAGGTTCTCTCTCAGGACTAGTTCTCTGTAGTAGGCCCCAGTGATAACAACAACCACAAGCCTGGCTTCTTTCTTCCACTCCTGATGAAGCCTCAAGTCTCCGGAGCCACCTTATGTTGCTCTCAACCTTTGTGGAATCAGTGCTCAAAATAAACTGTCAGACCTCAGCCAACAAAGACTGAGTGCTAAGCAGACGCTTCACACCATTCACGGGGTGGTGGGGCAGGGGGGCCTCCTGTGGAAGGCTCTTTGCTCTGACCTTCCTGCCTGGGGGGTGGATGGAGAGTAACAGGGCTTATTAGTTGTGTAACACGTTCACTTTCAGTGCCATTTCACCAATTTGCTCTTATGGGCTTTTGAAAAGCACATTTTCTCAAGCTCTCCGGGAAGAGAACAAGAAGTTTAATGGTGTCCAGCAGAGAAAAGGGTAAATCTTCGTAAAGGGGAAAATAAGAAAAGAATAGAAAAGAAAGGAACAATGTTTCCTGCAAGAAGAAACCTAGCTTGCCTGTTAAATAATTTAATCTAATCATTGAACCCATAACATATGTCTACAAAGACAAGGGTTTGTCAATGAATGCCTTGTGGATGCTCCTCTTTGGAAATGAAATGGAATAATTAAAGATAGACCCGCAGGCCTGGCTCCTGGCATCCCTCTCATCCTGTTCTCCCAGTTCCCTCCCAGATATCTTCCCTTCTCTAACCACCACCTTGGGTGGTATTTGCTAGAATCTTCACTACATTGAAAAAACTAATAACCATGATTTATGGTGACTCCAGACTCTGTTTCTTTAGTTTAGGGACTGCTGTAGCTCTGGAATTTATATGGCTACAAGCCCAAGCCTAGCTGTCTTGCTTTCTTCCTACTAGGGCATAAATAAAGCCTCTTCTTTAGCTGAGATTCTACTTCCCCAGACCCCAAATGTGCTGCTATATACTTTTTGACTCAATGCTTTAGTTTATGCTCTTCATCCTGTCTGAATGGTTTCTTTCTATCTTTCCCTCCCTCAAGTGTCATCATTTTTGTGAAGTCATGCTTGACTGCCTCTATCCAGAGATCTAGTGCTCTTTGCTAGATACTGAAGATGTGATGCCAGCAATATTTATTTGTCTGCAGTGTTCTTGAGAGGATTAGACTTGTTTCCTCCTTTTTTAAAGAGTCCTAAAGTGCAGTACGTTATCCCATACATCTTTTATGGTTTTACAAAGTGTCGTAGAGGCTGGGCGCAGTGGCTTATGCCTATAAACCCAGCACTTTGGGAGGCTGAGGCAGGTGGATCACCTGTGGTCGAGAGTTCAAGACCAGCCTGACCAACATGGAGAAACCCCCTACTAAAAATACAAAAAATTAACCAGGCGTGGTGGCACGCACCTGTAATCCCAGCTACTCGGGAGGTTCAGGCAGGAGAACCTCTTGAACCTGGGAGGTGGAGGTAGCGTTGAGCCGAGATCACGCCACTGTACTCCAGCCTGGGTAACAAGAGTGAAACTCTGTCTCAAAAAAAAAAGTTGCATAGAGTGTTTTTCTTTTGGTAGGTGCTTGATATACAATTGCACTTAGTTGATGTCTTGGAATCCATATTCCTATAATATGTCTGCCAAGGTATATGACACATATAAATGTTACAATAATAGCTACTCAACCTGATGCTTTATGTTAATATTTATTATCTCCTTAATACTTATTAGGCACCGGTTATCATCCTACTCTACTCACTTACCCTCTTATCTAAAACTTAAAAGAAAGAGGTCTAAAGAAGTTAGGTAAACAGCATAAAGTAACAGACCTACCAATTGGTGGAAGTGGGGTTACAACCTGGCGCATCTAACTTCAAAGACTGTTCCTTCCTACCGACTCCACTCCAGTCCTAAATTATTGGAGAAAGAGAGACATTAGAAAATATATAAGACTTGCCTAAAGTCACATTGCAAGCTACTTATTGAAGAGATAAATTTAAAATGAATTAATCATTATTCTTTTATATATTATATATAGATGATAAAAACTAGAAAATCACTCTCTCTAGCATTAGTGTTGGTTAATTCCAAAACAAAATGAGAGCCCAACATTTATTTTGGCATTTGTAGATTTTTTTCACCCGGAAACAAAGTCTATCGTATAAGACATACAAAGTGACGATAGTTTCGAACTTTTCAGTGGCTGATATAAATCTATTTTAAATGAGCAAGGATTTTTATAATGCCCAATGCTTTCCAGGTCTCCATGGGGAAAACTGCCGGAAACATCCTGCCTGATGCTCTCATGGGAGCCATGGCTTTATGTTTATGCATAAGAAATTCTTACAACTGCTTCAACTAATAACATTTTAATTTAATGCATTTCATATTTCCATATTTATTGTGCTCCAATCATGTTTTATGAGGAACGTGAATGTGGGAACCCGATGTAACTGATATTTAGTATGTATGTACAGTGTACTTTCCTCAAGAGGTTCCACTGCTGGCACAAATGTAAAATAAATACAAATAAATCCAACTCTTTGATAGGCCCAACCTAGCTGATCAAGTCATCCCCTTCCCTCCACTTCAGGATTTCTCTGCAGAAACAGACTGATTAGAACCAAATCCACTTGGAAAATGGAGTTTCCTTTTTCAAGCTTCCTAATCTGGCTTCTCAAAGCCATATTATCCTCCAAACAGAACCTGAAAGAAGTTCCATTTCTGTTTCTCTCCAGCCAATGAAGAAACCTTGGAAAAGGAAATGAGAAGGACAACATTGTTCTATCAGCCAATCTGTTCACCTTACAATTGATGTTAAGCAGAATCTGATATGCAAAGAGGAAGCTCAGCATCTTGTACTGCATCCAGGTAGGGACCATTAGAGAGACCGGAAGGAAAAGATGCTCAGGTTCCAGAGACTTTCAATGACTGAAGAGTGCACTAAGGTATCCCCCACTAAGGTAAATTGTCTGACTAGATTTCATTTTGCCATTAACGAAGACAATGGTGAGAAATGAATACCTCATGCCAATTAAACTGTAGTATGATGTTTTGTAGTCATTGCACATGTAATAACTTTATATACAATCTACATTGTGATTTTTTTTCTCCTTCAGAATTAAAATTTGTGTTTTTCATTTTCAGAATACAGATACTTTAAAAAGAAAAAAAAATCCACAAAATTATCTCTTCTTTCCCTTCATTGAAAATTCTTTCTTGTTATGATCCAAGGAGAAAGGGATAAGCGACTTTTTCAAGTTAAAATATATTTAAAATAATTTTTTAGACATTGAAAGCAAAACATTTAGAAGTTAAAACTGTTAACTTTAGACTAAAGTAAATGTAATTTGGAAGCAAGTGTAATGACCCCAATTAGCTATAACTGATATCTATATTAAAGATATCAGTATCAGTATCTTAAAGGTATCTGTCTTAAAGAGTAAACACTTCAAAAACAATATTTTTAGTTTATCAGAATCTTCCATATTTGAGACAGAATTAGATGATGCATGTGTAGCACGAATAAGAAGGAAAAGGATGACCATCTTCCAGTGGTTCCTATGATGAGACAAGAATAAATTTCAGTATCTAATTCCTTTAGGAGCCTCTTGGAGATTAGTTCATAATATAATCTTGACAGGGGCATTTTAGAAGAGAATAGCTGTTCTTCTGAAGTAGTCTGGAATGACCTAAGGAGAGTGCTAACCAAGGGTTCAATGACCTCCAAGATTTCTGCCAGTCCTGGGACTCTATTAATTTTCTTCCTTATCAGTATGCTCTTGTCAATCTATATTAACTCATCAGATCTTATGGTGGCATATTCTACATATCAAACAGAAGGAAGGAAAAAGAAAACAGAAACTAATGTAAATTGTCTGCTGTGTGCCAGGAACTCTGCTATTATATCTGTTTTATTTCCTCCAAATCTGTAAGCATCATCTTGTCATCAATATTTCATAGTTGAGGAACCTAAAGCTCTGAGAAGTTAAAAAACAAAGTTTGTAAGTGGCAGTGGTGGGACTGAAACCAAGAATGTCAGGCTCCATGCATTCTCTGCCTCAGAATACAATACTCAGAATGATAGTAGTTCAAGGGAGGTAAAAATTAAAGAAGGCAGGAGGAATGCCCCAGGATTTCATGGAGGGAGCAGAACTTCAGTTGAATGTGAGGAAAAAAATGTTATCCTGACAAACGAGAGGGTGGAGGGGGCAATCTAATAAGGGAAAGGATGTTTGCAAATATGTGCATGTGGAATGGTCTGGGGAAGCGAATAACCTAGTTTGCTTGGAGCAGAAACTCCACAGGGAAAATAAAATCAGAGAGAATTGAGACCAGAATGTGCTCATGTCATTCATTTTTGTGGGGTTCAGAATTACATCCTTCAAAGTCACTCATGTTTTTTTCTCAAGGTTGGTATCTGTGGAGGAAGTAAAATCTGTGCCCAGCCTGCTAGGCCAACATTGAATAAGGTCAGGAAGAAGGGTGTCCTGCAGTGGTAATATTCAGCTAAAACCTAAAGAAAACAAGGAATGCAGTGTATGCAAATGGGTTAACAAGGAAGGAAAGAAGCTGAACTAAGATTAAAGATAACAGGTGCAGAAACCAAGTGAGCTGGGGTGGGTGGGTGGACAGCACAAGGTAACAGTGGAGAGAAGGGCAGGAGCTGGCTCATATTCAGTCTTGTAGGCTGTGATAAGTAGTTTGATTTTGTATGGATTTACAGGGAACCAACTAAAGGTTTATAAGCTGGGGGAAAAATGGTCCACTCTGGATGTGTGGTGAGGGAAGGTGTGAAGTTCACTTTGGTCAACTGGATTAATCCAGTCCTGGGATTAGGTGTCCTCAATACAGATGGTGAAGTAGGTATGGAAAGAAATGTATAGGGTTTCAGGTATATCTTGAAGGCAGATTTGTCAGTGCTTGCTGATGAATTACATATTGTCAGTAAGGTAGATGAAGACATCAAGGAAGGGCTTCTGGCTTGAGTGATTCAAGGTGTCATTTTTTTTTTATTTTTGATAAAGATGGGGTCTTGCTTTGTTGCCCAGGTTGCTCTCAAACTCCGAACCTCAAGCAATCCTCCCACCTCAGGCTCCCAAAGTGCTGGAATTGCAGGTGTGAGCCACTGTGCATAGCCTAGGAGTTTGTTTTTTAATATAATATGTTGGGAAGTCTGTGAGTCATTACTAGTCATTAAGATATCCGGTAGATAAATACTTCTCAGACTAAAGTCTTCATAGATGATCTTGCTCTTAGATCAATAATAGGGCCACAGCATGAGTAGGATTGCCAGATAACATGCAGGATGTCCAGTTACATTTGAATTTAAGCAATGAATACTTTTTTGTATATAGGTATATCCCAATATTGTTTGAGATATAGTTTCACTAAAAAAATTACTAATTTAACTGGGTATTTCATGATACAAATCTTACTGGATGGAATACAAATTTAACTAGATATCTTATATTTTTATTTGTTAAATCTGGTAATGCTACATATAAGCTTCACTACTTTATCATCTTCTATTCCCCTGTCTAACTCTGATTCCAAGTCAGTCTTCTTATCTTTCCTTCTTTTCAGAAGAATAGAAGGCTTCTGTTCTCCTTGGCAAACCTGAGTCTATTAACTTTGCCACCTGCTCCAGGACCTTGTCACAGTTTTTGTTTTCCCTTTGAGATTGTCAGAGGCATTTTACAATGACCTATGTGTGTGTGTTTGTGTGTGTGTGTGTCTTTTGGCCCCTTTTTCCCTATATTGGTTGATATATATTTTAGATACTTCCTACTTTTGTCTTACTTTCATAGTCAAAATAATTTTATAATGCCTTATTCTCTACAACATATGAATATATATGTTTAAAGGTCCAAATGGGAGAATGATCCAATGTATCATTTCAGAAACAAAAGGCAACTGTCATATTGGGTAAAATTATTTACCATACATATAATATAAAAAGGATTAAGTTACAAAATTCGTACAATAATTCTACAAGCCAATAAGACAAAAAGCAAAACAAAAACACAGAGAAATCTAATACCAAATGGGGCAATTCGCAAAACTGCAAACCCAATTGGACAATAAACATGAAACATGACTAATTTTATAATAAAAGAAAAGGAAATTATACCAATATAAGATTTCACTCATCATTTGGCAAATATTAATTAGTTTAATATCAAATGTTGGCAAAACTATAGGAAAATACTACCTCATACTACACTGATAAATGTGTACAACCATTTGGAAATCAATATGTCATAAGCTAATACATTTGAAATGAGCAAACTCTTTATTCTAACAATCACTTTCAGGTATCTGTATCCAGGAGAAATAAATCACGCATGTGCACAAGGTAGCATGCATAAAGATGCTCACAGCAGCCTAAAATTCAGAAGCAACTTAATATTTATCAACAGGAAAATTATAAGATAAACAACAGAATATTGGAATAAAGAGCAGTTAAGTAAAATGAGGTAGGTTTATATCCTGATATGGATAGACATCTAAGTAGAAGCTGTTTCACTCCAAGTGTTCAGTAAAAAGAAGAAACATGCAGATTAATATGTAAAGATTATATCCTTTATATAAAATAAGCCAAATCCAAACAAACAGAACAAAATAAACATCTGAAATAAAATCGTGTGTTTTTGTAGATCTATATTGGATAAATGCAATTAAAAATAAAAGGTTTAAGACGGATGAGAAAAAGAAACTGAAGATAAAGGGATTAATCTAAGGTCCGTAAAACAGCAACTTTTTCACTTGTTTCCCCCATCTGTAATGCAGACAAAAATCAGGCAGCAGGCATTTACCTCCAGCAAAAACAGTTGACACTTTCTCAGTGAAAGTGAACAAATTGCCAGGTCCCTGGTGAAACCTTCACTCTTGAATTTGAGTGAACCTGAAGCCTGACAGATGGCTTCCTAGTTCTCTTACTGATCCACCTAAAGCAAAGTCTCATATTTGCTTACTTCACACAGAACTCCAGGTGAGAATTCCAAATGGAAATTAGTTTTAACACAAAAGTAGTGGACTTTTATTAATGATAGTTTTTTTAATAGTTGGTATTACCAGACATATGAGTAAAGCAGCAGAATGAGATAGAATGGCCAAAATTAAAAAATTGAAAATTGGCACCAGAGGAAATAGAGATAACTTAGACATCATAAAAGAAATTAGGGGAGGGTATATTAATGAATAAACTCAGAAATATTTTAAAAATTACATCTATAAAACAAAAACAAATGTTATGAAAAAGAAATAATCAAAAAACAAGAACATATTTTCAGAAAATGCAATAAAAATAATCAAAAAACAAGAACATATTTGCAGAAAATGCAATAAAAAGTAATCAAAAGACAAGAACATATTTGCAGAAAATCAAAAAACAAGAACATATTTGCAGAAATTTTAATTATAATTAAATTTACAATTATGTCTAAAATTAAAAACTGTGGAGCAAGCCTACAGAGAAAACAGTCCAGATTGGAAAGTAGTGATAGAATGCTCTGGTAGAGTAGCTTCCATTAATGGGTATGAGGTTGAGTAAATCTTTTTTGTTTTTGAGACAAAGTTTCGCTCTTGTTGCCCAGGCTGGAGTGCAATGGTGCAATCTCAGCTCACTGAAACCTCCACCTCCTGGGTTCAAGCAATTCTCCTGCCTAAGCCTTTTGAGTAGCTGGGATTACAGGCACCTGCCACCATGCCTGGCTAATTTTGTGTGTTTTTAGTAGAGACAGGGTTTCACCATATTGGTCAGGCTGGTCTCTAACTTGCGACCTCAGGTGATCCACCTGCCTCAACCTCCCAAAGTGCTGGGATTACAGGCGTGAGCCACTGTGCTCAGCCAGACTGAGTAAATTTATTTGATGAAGAATGTGGTGGGCATACTGAAATAATATTAATATTAATATTATTAAATAATAATAATATAATAATAATAATAATATTAAAATAACAATAAAAGGTTTTCTAGAAAATGCTAAATTCATAGAATGGGTACTGCAAGATTATGAACTCAGGTTTCAAGGTCCTGAAGTTTTGCTGCAGTGTGATGATAAGGGAAGTCTTTCTTTGATGTCATTCTTAGAAAACCCAATCTCTGGGTTCTAGGTTGTGAAGGCTTTGATTGCCCTTGGTCAGTGGATCATAAAAAGCTTTCATTATCTGGTGAAAATACACTTTGACATAATTCATTAGAGCCTTGCAGAATACAGTCATGTCAGAGTTTAGTAGCAGAAGATACATAAGGTTCTATTAACATATGCATAGGCCTTCCAGTGACTATTTTATAAGGGGCCAACTTATGTTTCCACTCTAAATGGATCTGATTGTCATCAATATGCAACACCTTTGACCAAGGCAATCCAGGCAATTCAGTTTGCTTTTCCTAATGCTATTGTATCTGTAATATCTTATTCAACAATTTTACAACTTGTCCAGTGAAACAAGTACCTCTATCATTGGAGATTTATCCAGGAATGTCCTATGAGGAAAACACATTTCTGTATAACCTTTTAGCTACTGTTATAACAACAGCCCTCTTGCTTGAGAAAGCTTCTATACAACCATAAAACATGCACTGGAAATGACAGTTGAGTGAAACTCCTCTATAAGTGTTCAAATGGCCTATCAGGTAGCAAAAATGTACCTGAAGTTTTGATTGAGACTTCCCAGGAATATGGGTTTGATAAACCAAACATTGGTCATAAACCATGTTAGCAATTTAGAACAGTCACCACACACACACACACACACACACACACACACACACACACCTATATATGTGTTTTATATATATATATATCCATCTCTCCTTTTCCCTGTTATTTTTTGGAGTTTACTCAAAAGGTGAGTAAAATTATTTTTACTGTTTCTTATTATATTACATAAAATTATTATTTAAAAGAGGAAACCAAATTTTACCTTTGTATTAGTGTATTATCAATACTAAAATAAATTTTAATAAACCTTATGAGTATATCCAATATCAGTCAGCTTTTGACTACACAAGATTTTCATAAAGCTTTTAGAATCTTTTACAAATTTTTTTCCTTCTTTTCACAACTTTCTGTATTTAGTTTTATCTATATCTTTCTTCCTTCAACTTGAAACAATCTTTAACTTTTAAACAACACAAAGTTATTTTTTTCTCACTAAACACAAATTTTCATGCCTTTATGTTTCATCTCATCAAAAACATATTTTGTTTTTCTTTATACAGTCTATATATAGAACTGTTTCTTTTATATCTAGTCATTTTAATTACATAACCACAGTTTTAACTCTTATTAACCCCACTTTCTAATGAAAACCTAGGAAATAAATAATTTTCAAACTATTTTATATCAATATTTGTAGATAAAAACCATTTCATAATTTTTGTAGAAAGATGTTTTCTCAACTTGTAAACAAATCTAAATATATTTTTTCTATGCCATATGAAAATAAGATGCCAAATTATATAAACTTAAACTTATATTTAATAATTAATATTTCAGTGTTTTAACTTACTTAGAGATGACTCAGCCATTCTATGATTATCTCTTATTTTAATATAACATGACTTTAAGATATTATATTACTGAAAAGAATTTTGATCCTATGACAGAGGTACCCTCCCTAATGTCTTCCCCTGTTGTCCTGGGTCCCAAATACTCATGCGGTACCCAAGGATGGCTATGAAGGATATGATACATTTGGGTCCTGAATTGACATACCAGGTGTAGAGTTCAGGACAGAGAACAGAGCTATGAAGATAATGCCTGGAGGATCTAATTGCTGTCAGCCTGGCTAGGAAGCAAAGGTGAGACAAGGAGGATGGAATCATATTGTGCTTTCTTCTGCCTTGCAGCTGGTGGTCCAAGTGCTGAGGACATAAACCCAGTCCTCACCATGGCCATTTATTCAGACCCTAGAATCCAGAGGCCCCAAAACCAAAAACATAACCTCACAGACAAATCAAGGAAGTATCAAAAATATTACTGAGCAGCAGTTTTATTACCTTAAAACATGTATGAGAGACAGCATAATACTCTCTCACCCATAGACCCAGGCAAAAATGTCTGAATTATATGTAACTGGCAATTCCAAAGACATTCCTATTTTATTTTGAGAACAAGTTTAAAACTGGCTTTACTTACCAAATATTATCACATACACATAATCGTATAAAGCTATAAACATACAGACAGAAGCAGATCTTATTGATTTCATAGACAATTCTCCTTTACTGACATTCAAATAGATTTTCTTCTCTCCATTTAAAGTATCACCCTTCTAATTTACTGTTTCATTGCCCTAAGCAATTGTTAGCTGGGCAACTCTAAATTCGCATTTCTAAAGGGATGAGTCTTTGGTGAAACAAGATAGAAAATTTATATCTCAAAAGCACACAGCAGAGATTTCAGGCCAAATACTGTACAATGATTTGCTCAAACAAAGGAAAAAAGTTGTAGGTAAAAGTGCAATTAAGACAAGATGGACAGGAAGAGCACCTTAAGCAAAGGTAAGTCTTATGACATAAATTTAAACTAATTGTAAAAGGTTCTAATGATTCAGTTCTCCCTCTCTTTGTGGTGTACAAAGGCAGACACTCTTAAAACGGTGATTAAAAAATTTTATTTTTTACAAATGGTTTTCAAAGTAGCCAGCTAAATTCCATGAATATGTATTTGGAAGACTGATTTCATTAAATAGGTGGTCTTTTTTAACTTAGCTACTATTTCTTAGCTAAAATACTAAGTTCAGGGTAGATCCCATTAAGGAATAGGATGAAAAAGCATTCCCTATGCCAGGATTCAGCATGGATAGCTTTGAAAAAGAAGCAAGTCTACGTTAGCTGAGGGCCTACCTTTTACACATACTTTATCCAGCATAGCTTTCTTTTAACCTTTAAGGAGGGTAGTAACCAAGCCAAAAAGTTAGCACATTTAATTATTCTTATCACTTGGCTGCTTAAGCTTTTTATTTGCCATGTATATATATATATATATATATATATATATATATATATATATATATGTGTGTGTTATATATATATATATAACACATATATATATATAACAAAGAAATTGGCTGGGTGTAATGGCTCATGCTATAATCCCAGCCATTTGGGAGGCCAAGTCAGGGGGATCACTTCAGGCCAGGAGTTCAAGACCATCCTGGGTAACATAGCAAGACCCAATCCCCAGAAAAAACATTTTTTTTAAATAATGTCTTTTAAAAAAATCAATAAAAATATTGAAATCTTTATAGAAGTTTCTGCATATTAATAGGAATTCCTTGGTTAGCCTAATTTGGGAGCCCTCATTTTTAAATGCACTTTTTAAAATTCAATGTTGTTCATTTGGAACATTCCACTGAAATTTTAAATTATCTTTATTAATATTTTGCCATTTCTGTTACAGTTTGTTGCTTCAGGGCCTAATACTTGTACATGTAAAGACAGGCATAGCTGGAAGGTGGGGTACTCACTTCTTCAGAAATTAAGTGCCCTTTTTTTTTTTTTTTTTTTTGAGACAGAATCTCACACTGTCACCCAAGCTGGAGTCCAATGACACAATCTCAGCTCACTGCAACCTCCGCCTCCCGGGTTCTAATGATTCTCCTGCCTCAGCCTCTTGAGTAGCTGGGATTACGGGCATGCACCACCACGCCCAGCTAATTTTTTTTTTTTTTTTTTTTTGAGACGGAGTCTCACTTTGTCACCTAGGCTAGAGTGTAGTGGCGCGATCTGGACTCACTGCAAGCTCCACCTCCTGGGTTCACACCATTCTCCTGCCTCAGCCTCCTGAGTAGCTGGGACTACAGGCGCCCACCACCACGCCCGGCTAATTTTTTTGTATTTTTAGTAGAGACAGGGTTTCATCGCGTTAGCCAGGATGGTCTCGATCTCCTGACCTCATGATCCGCCCACCTTGGCCTCCCAACGTGCTGGGATTACGGGAGTGAGCCATCACGCCCGGCCTAATTTTTTGTATTTTTAGTAGACACAGGGTTTCGCTACATTGGCCAGGCTGGTCTCGGACTCCTGACCTCGTGATCCACCCGCCTCGGCTTCCCAAAGTGCTGGGATGGGATTACAGGCGTGAGCCACTGCCCCTGGCCAAGGTTTCCATTTTTATGCAAGATCTTGGCTTTGACTCTGAGCTCCCCTTGATCAATTTAGCCAATGATTTTTCCCTACCTAAACATGCAAGAAGAAACAAAGGGGATAGAACACAAAAATCCTTGTGAATTTCCTAAAGCCAAAATTTACATCCTCTGTATGATTATCCATTTTACTGCCAGTTTCTGAGTCAGTCATACATCTAAAGCCTCTAGCTCGATCTAATCCAATTAATTATTGGATTTAATTTGATCCTCGACCCAGTCTAGTTTCTGTTGTGACTTCCGAACACAGTTCACATAAAAAATTTGCTAAAACAAACTCAGATAGCACAAAACACAAATCTGTGAAGCTTCAGAATCTGAGAGGGAACTTACCCATGAGCCTCAGTTGCTGTGAGAGAGCAATGGATGCAATGGACCCTGGTGGAGGGGGTTACCTCTCTGGGTCACTTGATGCTCCTAGGGGTTACTGGAAGTTCTACTTCATGTTCCAATTCTGACACCATCTGTTAAAAGAAAAACGTTGGACAAATTCAATAACAGAGTTTAATTGAGCAATTTAACAGAGTTTAATTCATGAATCAAACAGCCCCCTGAGCCAGAATAGACTCAGAGAGACCCCAGCACTGCCACATGGTTGGAGAGGATTTATGGACAGAAAAAGAAAGTCATGTACAGAAAGAAAAAGTTAGGTGCAGAAATAGCTGATTGCTTACAGCTTGGCATTTGCCTTATTTGAACTTGGTTTGAGCAGTTTGCTGCCTTTGATTGGCAGAAACTTGGTGATTGGTACAAGAGTATGTTACACTGTGTTTACCCATCCAGTTAGGTTACAATTCACTGTGCGCAGAGAAAACTTCAGGCCAAACTTAAAATATGTAAGGAGGCAGCTTTAGGTTAAATTTAATTTAATAATTTAAAAAATGATTGTCAAACCTGAGGTTACCCAAATTTTCTTCTATGTTTTACTGAACGTTTTCTTATTTTATATTTTACGTTTTGGTCCATGATACAACTTATGCTGTTTTCTGTAAGAGATGTGGGTAAAGCTTGTAGGTTGTTTTGTTTTGTTTTGTTTTATAACGTAGATATCCAGTTGTCCGAAAACTATTTGTTAAAAAGACTATATTTTCTTCATTGAATTGTCTTTGCTCCTTGTCAAAGATCAGTTGACTATGTTTGTGTGGGTCAATGTCTGGGCTCTCTATTCTGATCCATTGATCTATGTAACTAATCTCACAAGTACCACACTGTGTTTGTTACTGGAAAGGGGTCCCAATCCAGACCCCAAGGGAGAGTTCTTGGATCTCAAGCAAGAAAGAATTCAGGACAAGTCCATAGAGTAAAATGATAGTAAGTTTATTAGGAAAGTAAAGAAATACAGAACGGCTACTCCATAGACAGAGCAGCCCCAAGGGCTGCTGGTTTCCCATTTTTGTGGTTATTTTTTACGATATGCTAAACAAGCGGTGGATTATTCATGCTTCTCCTTTTTAGACCATCTAGGGTAACTTCCTGATGTTGCCATGGCATTTGTAAACTGTCATAGTGCTGGTAGGAGTGTAACAGTGAGGACGACCAGAGGTCACTCTCATCACCATCTTGGTTTTGGATTTTGGCCGACTTCTTTACTGCAAACTATTTTATCAGCAAGGTCTTTATGACGTGTATCTTGTGCCAACCTCCTATTTCATCCTGTGAGTTAGAATGCATTAACCATTTGGGAATGCAGTCCAGTAGGTTTTAGCCTCATTTTACTCAGCCGCTATTCAAGACGGAGTTGCTCTGGTTCAAATGCCTCTTACATCTTGGTTACTATTGCCTTAAAATATATCTTGACATCTGGTAGTATGAGTCTAATTATGTTTTTCTTCACTATTACGTTGACTATTACAGGTCTTTTACCTTTCCAGATAAACATAGCAATCAGTTTATTGATACCTACAAAACAGCTAGCTACCATTTTGGTTGGGATTGTGTAAAATCTATAGACCGAGTTGGGAAGAACTGATGTATTAACACTATTGGATCTTCCAATGTATAAAAACAGTATGTCTCTTCACTTATTTAGGTCTTTTGTTTATTTCATTAGAGTTTTACAGTTATTCACATATAGATTCTAAACTTACAAAAAATTATACCTAGATATTTTACTCTATTTTCAGTTTGATTGTAGAGTAAACCAAAAATTGTCTACCCCAAAATATATTTCTCCGACATATTTTGAGATGGCTATTCAGAGAGCCTGCAGACAGGAATAGCCCTGCAAAGTTGCCTTTTGTGGAGGAGATTTGCATCTGTAGAGAAAATCTGCATTAGTGAAATAAACAGCCAGGCTTTCTCTGAGCCCCTCCCCCATTGTCTGCATCTAAGAAAGATTAACTCAACCACAGGCTATAATCTATTCTTTCTGAGAGCTGCTACCTGTGCAGCAGGTACATAACAAGACCACCTTTGCAAGCCATCCCTTTCCTCTTCTCTCCCTCTGTTAACATATCTTGCCATGTTCCAAGCTCCCATTCTTTCTGTAACCTCAAGATGGTACAAAAGCATCAACTATCTGGCTCTTCCTTTGAGTTTTTATATTTTGTATGGCTCCAGTGCTTATAGATGCATGTAAATACATTTTGTATGTCTTTTTTTTCCCATTAATTTGCCTTTGGCCAGTTGATTTTCAGTGAACCTTCAGAGGGCAAAGGGATAGTTTCCCCTTGACCCCTACAACTATAATTGTGTTGCTTTTTCCAAAATTTCAAAATCCAATTATACATTGCTGATAAAAAGGAGACAATTGACTTGAATATTAACCTTACATTCTTCAACTTTTCAATACTAGCCTATTAGTTGTGGGAGTTTTTTGTTGTTGTTGATTCATTGGGATATTATATACAAACAATCATGTCATCTGTGAACAAAGACAGTTTTGTTTCTTCCTTCACAAACTATATATATTTCCTTTTCTTCTCTTATTCCACAGGGTAGAGGTCCATTATGATCATGAACAGAAGTGCTAAGAAAGAATTTACATGCCATATTCCTGATCTTAGGAGAAAAGGATTTAGTTTTATACCACTGAATATAATGTAAGCTGTAAAATTGGAAGACGGTTCTTTCTTTTTTCTCTTTCTTTCTTTCTTTTTCTCTTTCTTTCTTTCTTCCTTTTATTTTCGATTCAGGAGTACAGGTACAGGTTTGTTATGCATGTAAATTGCATGTCACAGGGCTTTGATGTGCAGATGATTTTATCATCGGTTTAATCAGCATAGGTAGTTTTTCTATCCTCACCCTCCTCCTACCCTCCAACCTCAGGTAGGCCCTATTGTCTGTTGTTCCCTTTTTGTTTCCATGTGTACTCAATATTTAGTTCCTACTTATAAGTGAGAACACGAGGTATTTGGTTTTCTGTTCCTGTTAGTTTGCTTAGGATAATGGCCTCCAGCTCCACTCATGTTGCTGCAAAGGACATAATCTTATTCATTTTTATGACTGCATAGTTTTCCACTCTGTATATGTGCCACATTTTCTTTATCCATTCTACTTCTGATGGATATTAAGGTTGATTCCATGTCTTTGCTATTGTGAATAGTGCTGCAATGAACATGATTCCATGAGTCTTTATGGTATAACAATTTATATTCCTTTGGGTATATATCCAATAATGGGATTGCTAGGTCAAATAGTAATTCAGTTTTAAGTTCTTTGAGAAATCACCAAACAATGACTGAACTAATTTACATTCCCATATAACTAATTTACACTATACAGCAGCGTATAAGCTTTCCTTTTCCCCACAACCTTGCCATGATTTGTTATTTTTTGACTTTTTAAAAATAGCCACTCTGACTGGTGTGATGGTATCTCATAGTGGTGTTGATTTGCATTGCTCTAATGATTAGTGAAGATGAGCATTTTTTCATATGCTTATTGGCCACATATATATCTTCTTTTGAAAAGTGTCTGTTCATGTCCTTTGCCCACTTTGTAATTGGGTTGTTTGGTTTTTGTTGCAGGAAGTCAAGGACCCCAAACGGAGGGACCGGCTGAAGCCATGGCAGAAGAATGTGGATTGTGAAGATTTCATGGACATTTATTAGTTCCCCAAATTAATACTTTTATAATTTCTTATGCCTGTCTTTACTGCAGTCTCTAAACATAAATTGTGAAGATTTCATGGACACTTATCACTTCCCCAATCAATACCCTTGTGATTTCCTATGCCTGTCTTTACTTTAATCTCTTAATCCTGTTAGCTGAGGAGGATGTATGTCACCTCAGGACTCATGTGATAATTGTCTTAACTGCACAAATTGTAGAGCATGTGTGTTTAAACAATATGAAATCTGGGCACCTTGAAAAAAGAACAGGATAATAGCAATTGTTTAGGGAATAAGGGAGATAACCTTAAACTCTGACGGCTGGTGAGCTGGGCGGAACAGAGCCATATTTCTCTTCTTTCAAAAGCAAATGGGAGAAATATTGCTGAATTCTTTTTCTCAGCAAGGAACATCCCTGGGAAAGAGAATACGTGCCTGGGGGGAGGGTCTCTGAAATGGCCCCCTTGGGTGTGGCCGTCTTCTATGGTCGAGACTGTAGGGATGAAATAAACCCCAGTCTCCCACAGTGCTCCCAGGCTTATTAGGAAGAGGAAATTCCCACCTAATAAATTTTGGTCAGACCGGTTGCTCTCAAAACCCTGTCTCCTGATAAGATGTTATCAATGACAATGGTGCCTGAAACCTCATTAGAAATTCTAATTTCGCCCCAGTCCTGTGGTCCTGTGATCTCGCCCTGCTTCCATTTGCCTTGTGATATTCTATTACCTTGTGAAGTACGTGATCTCTGTGACCCACACCTATTCGCACACTCCCTCCCCTTCTGAAAGTCCCTAATAAAAACTTGCTGGTTTTGTGGCTTGTGGGGCATCATGGAAAAAACCTACTGACACGTGATGTCTCCCCCGGATGCCCAGCTTTAAAATTTCTCTCTTTTGTACTCTGTCCCTTTATTTCTCAAAGCGGCCGATGCTTAGGGAAAATAGAAAAGAACCTACGTGACTATCAGGGCAGGTTCCCTGATAGGTTTTGGTTGTTAATTTGTTTAAGTTCCTTATAAATTCTGGATATTAGACCTTTGTTGGATGCACAGTTTGCAAATGTTTTCTCCCATTCTGTAGGCTGTCTGTTTACTCTGTTGATAGTTTCTTTTGCTGTGCAGAACCTCTTTGGTTTAATTAGGTCCCATTTGTCAACTTTTGGTACTGTTGCAAATTCTTTTGGTGTCTTCTTCATGAAATCTTTGCCAGGGCCTATGTCCAGAATGGTATTCCCTAGGTTATCTTCCAGGGTTTTTATAGTTTTAGGTTTTGCATTTAAGTCTGCAATCTCTCTTGAGTTGATTTTTGTACATGGTCTAAGAAAGGAGTCCAATTTTAGTCTTCTGCCAATGGCTAGTCTGTTAACACAGCAGCATTTATTTAATAGGGAATCCTTTCCCCATCGCTTGTTTTTGTCAGGTTTGTCAAAGACCAGGTGGTTGTAAGTGTGCAGCATTATTTATGGGCTCTCTTGCCTGTTCCATTTGTCTATATATCTGTTTTTGTACCAGTACCATGCTGTTTGGGTTACTGTAGCCTTGTGATACAGTTTCAAGTCAGGTAACATGATGCCTCCAGCTTTGCTCTTTTTGCTTAGGACTGTCTTGGCTATTTTTGTTGTTGTTGTTCCATCTGAATTTTAAAATGGTTTTTTCTAATTCTGTAAAGAATCAGAAAGATGGCAGATAGAAGGCTCGACCAACTGTCCCTCTATAAGGACACCAATTTAACAACTATCTACACACAAAAAAAGCACCAGCATAAGAACCAAGAATCAGGACAGCACTCATAGTACCTGGTTTTAAGTTGATATTACTGAAAGAGGCACTGAAGAAATAGAGAAAAGAGTTTTGAATCACCAGCATCTCCTCTCCTGCATCCCCCAGCAGTGGTGGTGTGGTGTGGAGAGTATTTCTGTGCAGTAGTGAGAAGAGCAGAAAGCAAAACAAGACCAAACTCAGGTGACACCCAAGGAGGGAGCCTTTAAACCAGCCCTAGTCAGAGCAGAATCACAGATCCCAGTGGTCAGAACTTGAGCTCCCACAAGCCTTGGCACCACAGGCTACAGAGTTCTGGGGTAACAAATAAACCTGAAAGACAGTCTAGGCCACAAGAATTGTAACTCCTAGGTGACTCCTAGTGCCGAACTGGTCCCACAGATAATAGACTAGGGAGGGCATGACCTACGAAGACACCAGCTGAAACAGCCAAGGGAGTGCTGGAATCACCCCTTCTCTAATTCCAGGTTGCACAGTCTGTAGCTCCAAAAGAGACCCCTTCTTTCTGCTTGAGGAGAGGAGATGAAAGAGTAGAGAAAATGTTTTCTTGCATTTTGGATACCAGCTCAGCCATAGCAGGCAAGGTCCCCGGTCAGAGTCGTGAGGCCCCTCTTTCCAGGCCCTTGCTTCCAAACAACATTACTAGACACACTGGGCCAGAAGGAAACCCATTTCCCTGTAGGGAAGGACTCAGTCCTGGCAGAATTCAACACCTGTTAACTAAAGAGGCCTTGGGCCTTAAATAAACAGCAGTGATGTCCAGGTATATTAAGGAACTTAGGTGAGACATTGAGATTTGCTGGTGTCTGGTGAGACTTAGCACATTCCCAGCTGTGGTGGCTACAATGAAAGACTCCTTATGCCTGAGAAAAGTAGAAGGAAAAATAAAAGGGTCTTTGTCTTGCACTTTAGGTACCAGCTCAGCCACCGGGGGCAGAGTACCAGTGAGCTCTTGGGATCCCTGATTCTAGAACTTGGCTCTTGGACAGAATTTCTGGATGTGCCCTGGACCAGAAGGGAGCCCATTGCCTTAAAGTGTGAGTCCCAGGCCAGACAGCATTCACCACAAACTGACTTAAGAGGCCTTGAGCTTTAAGAAAACATTGATGGTAGTCTGGCAGTACTTCCCATTGATTTGAGGTGGTGGTGGCCATACAGTGAGGCTCCTCTGCCTTTAGAAAGGGTAGGAAAGAGTGGGAAAGACTGCATCTTATGGTTTGAGTGCCACCTCAGCCTTAGTACAATAGAACACCAGGTAGATATGTAAGGTTTTTTACTCTAATCCCTGGCTCCTGAACAGCACCTCTAGATTCACCAGGGGCCTGGAGGAACTTGCCACCCTGAAGGAAAGGACACAGGCCTGGCTGACTTAGCTACTTGCTGATCATGAGGCCCCAGGGCTTTGAGAAAACATAGGTAGTAACCAGCAAGTGGTTAGAGCAGGGCTTTGTTGAGACTCAATGCTGGGCTGGCTTTAGGTCAGACCCAGCATAGTTCTAGGACTGGTAGCCACAGGGGTGCTTGTGTCACTCCACCCCTGGTTCAGGTGGCTCAGAACAGAGCGAGACTTCATTTGTTTTGAAGAATGTAACGGAAGAGAACAAGAGCCTCTGCCTAGTAATCCAGAGAATTATTCCCAATTTTTGCCAAGAACTTCAAGGTGGTACCTCTACAAGTCTGCAAGAACTGCAGTGTTACCAGGTTTGGGATTCCCCCTAAAGCAGATATAGCTTAGACAGCACCACCCAAGTTCTTTCAAATATCTGGAAAGCCTTCCCAAGAAGGAAGGGTACAAACAAGCCCTGACTGCAAAGACTACAGTAAATACCTAACCCTGCAATGCCCAGACACAGACGAACATCCACAAGTATCAAGATGACCCAGGAAAACATGACCTCACTAAATGAACTAAATAAGGCACCAGGAATCAGTCCTGGAGAAACAGAGGTATGTGATCTTTTAGACAGAATTCAAAATAGCTATTTTGAAGAAACTCAAAAATATTCAAGATAACACAGAGAAAGAATTCAGAACTCTGTCAGATAAATTCAACAAAGAGATTGAAATAATTACAAAGAAATGAGCAGAAATTCAGGAGCTGAAAATTGCAGCTGGTATACTGAACAATGCATCAGAGTCTTTTAAAAGCGGAAGAAAGAATTAGTGTGCTTGCAGACAGGCTATTTGGCTATCAGCAGCCCTCGGGCTGCTCTGTTTACAGAGTAGCCATTCTTTTATCCCTTTACTTTCTTAATAAATTTGCTTTCACTTTGCACTGCGGACTCGCCCTGAATTCTTTCTTGCATGAGATCCAAGAACCCTCTCTTGGGGTCTGGATCCGGATCCCCTTTCCTGTAACATTAGCATATCAATTATTCTCATTAAAAAAAAAGTTTTTAGTGTTTTCCAATGTATTAAATAATATTAAACTAATCTTAGTCTACTTTCAAATAACTCTATACCACTTTACATGTTGTTCACATACTGTATAACAGAATATCCCCAGTAGCTCCCTCTCATACCTTGTGAAATTGCTGTCATTTATTTTACTTATCCGTATGCTAAAATCACCCATCACACTGTTACCATTATTACTTTAAACAAAGACATATTTTAATTTACTTATCAATTTTAAAAAATTATGCCTTCATTTCTTTCTTTCCTGATGCTCCTTCCTTCTTTATGTAAATCAAAGTTTCCAGCCTATACAATTTTCATTTCATTATCCGTTTTTACCTTTCTTCTAGGGCAGAACTGCTGGTGATGAATTCCCTCAGTTGTTGTTTTCCTAAGAAAGTCTTTAATTATCTGTAATTTGTAGGGCAATCTAACAGGATATAGAATCCTAGGTTGGTGGTTTTTCTTTGAACTCTTCCAATATTTTAGTCAACTCTCTCCTTGCTTGCATGGTTTGTGACAAGAAGTCTACTGTAATTCTCATCTTTTTTCCTTTCTATGTAAAGTATTTAATTTTCTCTGGCTTCTTTCAAGATTTTTCTCTTTGTCTTTGGTTTTCTTCAGTTTGAATATGATATAACTGGTTGTAGTTTTTTTGGAACTTTTCCTGGCTGGTGTTCTGTAAGCTTTCTGGATCCGTGGTTTGGTATATGTCATTAATTTTGAGAAATTCTCCTCTACTATTACTTGAAATATTTCTTCTGCTCTGTTCTCTCTTCTCCACTGCTATTCTAATTCCACATGTCACGTTAGACAAAGTATCCTACATTTCTGAGATAATGTTTTATTATTATTATTTTTCTCTTTGTATTTTATTTTGGGAAATTTCTATTGACCTATCTTCATGCTCACTATTTTCTTGGTGTTCAACCTACTGATAAGTATATCATAGACATTCTCCATTTTTGTTGTAGTGTTTTTGTTTTCCAGCATTTTCTATTGATACTCTCTTACAATTTCAATGTCTTTGCATAGCTTCCCCATATTTTCTTGCTTTTACCTATTTTTTCCATTAGATCCCTTAACATATTATTCATAATTACTTTACATTTCCTGTTCTATGTCATATCTGATCATGGTTCTGATGCTTAGTTTGTGGTTTTTCTTGTCTTTTGGCGTGACTTGTAATTTTCTGGTTAAAGCTGGACATGATATGTCATGTAATAAAAATTTAGATATTTTTTCTAGGCCTTTAGTGTGTGGTCTTATGTTAATTTGGCTAAGAGCTCTGCTGTGTTTTATGTTTACTGTAGCTGTGGGTGCCAAGGGCTTTACATTTCTCTTGTATCCTTATTTTTGTCTCCTGTGTTATTTTGGGATTTCCTAAAAACTCATTCTCAGACACAATTTGCATCTTGCAGCTCTTTCAGCTACTATTGTAGTGGAGCCCTGTTGGTATGCTGGTAAAGTGTGAGGAAGAAGGGATATTCTATAATCATATAATTAAATCTGTTTTATCAGTGCGCCTGTGTCCCAAGGCTGTGTGACCTATGCTTAGATCTCTTAGTCTTTTTCTTCCCCCTTAGATGAGACAGAAAGGTCAGAGGGGGCCAGGGTGGGAGAGATGCCCTTCCCCCAGATAAGATAAGACTAGTAATGTCATTTCCCCCGAAGAATAAGGCCTTTGCTCTGGAGAATACTCGGTGTGCTTGTCACAATGGTTACTCCTCCCCTCCCTTGATAAAGCCAGGGGAGAATCTTTCTTAAGTTTTTCACAGTAAGGATCTGGTATAGTTCCTGAAGATAAAACCCACAAAAATGTAGGGCCCTCCTAGCAGCATAGCATCCCTCCACCCCAGGATTTCTCACTTTCAAGCTAGTCTATATTCAGCTCCAGCAGTTAATTAACATTACAAGTTAAATGTCCCCACCAAGTTATGGCTACAGTGGCTTTTTCTTCAGGTAAGCAGATCTTGGCTGTGACTCGCTGGATTTGCCTATTTTTCCAGATTTGGGCCAATCTCAGTTCTCTAATGCATCCAAGAAAAAATGTTGAGTTTTAGTTTGTTTAGTCTTTTCTTGTGGTATGAACAGGAGTGATGACTTCCAATCTTTACTTGTTGAAGCTGAAACTAGAAGTCTTAGGTTTTCATTTTTATAATTATATTTTTATTTTTGTGATTTCTGGGTACTTTTTAAATGGATGGAATGTAATATCCTCTAGAATATTTAATATTCAAAACAAATTATAGGAAGATCTTAAAATAAGTAAAATGTGTCTTGCCTCCTTGTGTATTATTCCTTTCATTTGTGGAGTAAGTTGCCATTCTTTTGAGTTGTAGGTCCTCTTCAAATGTTTGGTTATATTTGCCATTCAGGATCCCTGCTCTACTTTATGTAGATGCCATGTCTGACTACAGAAGACTGTTTCTGAAATCTTTGAGAGTTTGGCTGGATATGCTACTGAAGAGGTTGTGCTCAATGCTTTGCATTTGGGGTAAAGAATCTGTTTCTCCTAATACATTGCCCTGATTCTCCTTCCAAATGATAAAATCCTTCATCAGCAAATACATGAATAAGCGGAGGTTCCACCAGGCTTGTGCTCTAAAAAAGTTTTAGTTAAGCATCCTGATTATTTTCCCAGAGCCCTTTTATTTTCTCTAATTTCATCATATCTGAGACTAAACAACCTCTGAAATTATCCTCCCTTTTAATTATCTTTTTTCAATGTGTTTTGGTCTGTGGCCTCTTTCTTTCATTCAATTCATCAATGTTCTATCTTTTAGAAAGCCTTCAACATTTTTGATTTGCTGCTTACTCACCCTTATTTTGTTGTTTATATAAATTGCAAATGACTTTTATTACACTTTGGGATTCATTAAGGTCATTTTTCTGGAACCAGTTTCTCACATTATAAACCCATGTTTGTTAGAATGATTTTCTGATTAAACTTATAACTTCAACAGATTAAAAACAGTCATCATATCTCTATCCCTATAAATAATGATAGCTTTTACTTACAGATCTACATTATATTAACACATATATGAATAAATGAAGTATATATAATAGCTATGCTTCATCCTGTTTTTGAGTTACAGTTATTCCAGACTTATATCTACACAACTAATGGCAATATCCTTTCCTTGGTTTGGGATTAAATGAATTGGGAGAAAAAAAGAAAAGAGAAGAAAGAAAAAAAATCTTGAGAAGGAAAGAGGTTTCTATTCTTCGCCACCACTGCACAGAAAAGGAAGCCATTTGTCCTCTGGCTTCTCCATCCTTCTGCCCCATCACACTGTTCTTATGACACTGGACTCATTGGTTATGACCTACACAGATGTGGCATAACATTTCCTTCTGTTCTTTTGCTGCCTTCCCTTACATGGAACTTCATTTTTCTTCCCCTGGGCGTAGGGCAGCTATTTTCAATCTAAATAGACCAGCTGCTCATCTAGCCCCACTTAATCACCAAGCCAATGTAGAGAAGGCAAAGCATATGTACGCATCATATGTGATATTTTGTCTAATTTGTTTCCATCTTAGGTTCTATTTAGTGATCTGGTGGAGTGACCCTCACTACCACAGTCTATAATCTGTAAACATTATATGACCCCAGTGATTTTTTCCTTCTTCTAGGTATCTATTAATGGATGGTATAAGGAAATATATTGTTACTCTTCCTTTTAAGTAAAACCTTTCTGAAATGAACTACGAGTATGTTTATTTAGTTTTTATTTTATAATCATGAACTTAACTCTGCTATTCCACTAGGCACGGAAGGGAATAAGAAAAATATGGAACCCAAAGGGATTGCAGTAAGACCACAAAGATTATAGGACACTGTGAGCAAATAGGGTGAAGAAGTTCTCTTCTGACCTACAGAAAGAATGGTCTGGTGATGAAGATAAAACACAAGTCCAATTTATTAGAGTTGTTCACAGTCAGCAATGGTGATCTACTTGCTAGTCTTACCATTCCTGGACCCAAAGTGCTCCCTGGCTTCCATGATATTCATGCCTTCCTTCACTTTGCCAAAGACTATATGCTTGCCATCCAACCACTCAGTCGTGGCTGTGCAGATGAAACACTGGAAACTGTTTGTGTTGGGTCCAACATTTGTCATGGACAAGATGCCAGGACCTGTATGTTTCAGGATTCTCATCATCAAATTTCTCCCCATAGATGGACTTGCCACCACTGCCATTTTGACATGTGAAGTCACCACACTGACACATAAATCCTGGAATAATTATGGGAAAGCAGACACCCTTATAACTAAATCCTTTCTCTCCAGTGCTCAGAGCATGAAAATTTTCTGCTGTTTTGGGAAATTTGTCTGCAAACAGCTTGAAGGAAACTTGGCCCAAGGGCTCACCAGCAATAGCGTTGTTGAAGAACACAGTGAGGTTGATTGTGGCTGGTGGCAGGGGGCTCCAGGCAGTGTTGGCATCTGCAAAGCCTAACTTTTTTTTTAATAATCCAAATTGTTTGACTACTTTTCTTTCTGTTTGCTGGTCTTAAAAAATTCAAGCAATCTCCGCTCAAACCATTCAATACCTTGACAGAGCCCCAGTCATATCTGAATGAATTTTACCCAAGAACCAGAAATTTAGCCTATGATTAAAACATTTGCTTTAAGAAATTAAATTTCTGAAAGCATTTAAAATAAAATGGAGTGATCAGAAGCTTGGAATCATTACTGTTATTATTCCTGCTTTTTTTTTTATTTAGATAAAACTTACATTAACCATAAAAGAAGACTTGGGGACACAGTCTCAGCCTCACCGCTGCTGCCACCACCGTCCAGAGACTGCTGAACCCCTATCCATCTGCTACCACCACCCACTCTGGACACAGAACATCCAGTCATGGAAAAAAATGAGCTGGTTCAGAAGGCCAAACTGGCTGAGCAGGCTGAGCAATATGATAACATGGCAGCCTGCATGAAGTCTGTAACTGAGCAAGGAGCTGAATTATCCAATGAGGAGAGGAATCTTCTCTCAGTTGCTTATAAAAATGTTGTAGGAGCCCGTAGGTCATCTTGGAGGGTCATCTCAAGTATTGAACAAAAGACGGAAGGTGTTGAGAAAAAACAGCAGATGGCTCGAGAATACAGAGAGAAAATTGAGATGGAGCTAAGAGATATCTCCAATGATGTACTATCTCTTTTGGAAAAGTTCTTGATCTCCAATGCTTCACAAGCAGAGAGCAAAGTCTTCTATTTGAAAATGAAAGGAGATTACTACCGTTACTTGGCTGAGGTTGCCGCTGGTGATGGCAAGAAAGGGATTGTGGGTCAGTCACAACAAGCATACCAAGAAGCTTTTGAAATCAGCAAAAAGGAAATGCAACCAACACATACTGTCAGACTGGGTCTGGCCCTTAACTTCTCTTGTTCTATTATGAGATTCTGAACTCCCCAGATAAAGTCTGCTCTCTTGCAAAGATGGCTTTTGATGAAGGCATTGCTGAACTTGATACATTAAATGAAGAGTCATACAAAGACAGCACGCTAATAATGCAATTACCGAGAGACAACTTGACATTGTGGACACTGGATACCCAAGGAGACAAAGCTGAAGCAGGAGAAAGAGGGGAAAATTAACCGGCCTTCCAACTTTTGTCTGCCTCTTTCTAAAATTTACACAGTAGACCATTTGTCATCCATGGTGTCCCACAAATGGTTTTTTGTTTACAATTTATGGCAGATGTGTGTTACTTTTATTTGAATTTCTATATTTCCCATGTGGTTTTTATGTTTAATATTAGGGGAGTAGTGGCCAGGCACAGTGACTCATGCTTGTAATCCAAGCACTTTGGGAGGCCAAGGCGGGAAGATCACCTGAGGTCAGGAGTTTGAGACTAGCCTGGCCAACATGGTGAAACCCCTTCTCTAATAAAAATACAAAAATTAGCTGGACACGGTGGCAGGTGCCTATAATCCCAGCTACTCAGGAGGCTGAGGCAGGAGAATCGCTTGAACCTGGGAGGCAGAGGTTGCAGTGAGCCAAGATCACGCCATTGCACTCAGCCTGGGGGACAAGAGTGAGACTTCGTCTCACACAACACACACCCACAAAATATATATATATATGTATATATATGTGTGTGTATATATATGCACACACACATATATACACACATATATACACATATATATATACACACATATATACATATATACACATATATATGTATATATGTGTGTATATAAATATATATATATATATTAGGGGAGTAGAGCCAGTTAACATTTAGGGAGTTATCTGTTTTCATCTTGAGGTGGCCAATATGGGGATGTGGAATTTTTATACAAGTTGTAAATGTTTGCTATAGTACTTTCGGTACATTGTGGCTTCACAAGGGCGAGTGTTAAAACTGCGTCCATATCTAAGCAAAGAAAACTGTCTACATATTGGTTTGTCCTGGTGGGGAATAAAAGGGATCATTGGTTCCAGTCACAGGTGTAGTAATTGTGGGTACGTTAAGGTTTGGAGCACTTACAAGGCTGTGGTAGAAACAGATATCCCATGGATACCGCATGTTAAACCATGTATATCTGTGGAATACTTAATCTCACTGTGCACACCTTTGACTACAGCTGCAGAAGGGTTCCTTTAGACAAAGTTGTGACCCATTTTACTCTGGATAAGGGCAGAAATGGTTCACATTTCATTATTTGTAAAGTTACCTGCTGTTAGCTTTCATTATTTTTGCTACATTTATTTTATTTGTATTTAAATGTTTTAGGCAACCTAAGAACAAATGAAAAAGTAAAGATGCAGGAAAAATGAATTGCTTGATATTCATTACTTCATGTATATCAAACACAGCAGTAAAATAAAAACCCATGTATTTAGTTTTTTTTAAGGTTTTTTCTTTTGTGATTTTTGTTTTTTGATACTTGCCTAACATGCATGTGCTGTAAAGACAGTTAACAGGCAAATAACTTGAAATGATGGCCAGCTTGGTTTAATGTCTTATGAAATTTTCATGAACAATCCAAGCATAATTGTTAAGAACACATGTATTAAATTCATGCAACTGGAATAAAAGTTTTATGAATGGACTTTTCAACTACTTTTTCCACAGCTTTTCATGTAACTTAGTCTTTTGGTTCTGAAACTTCTCTAAAGGAAATTGTAGATTTTTTGAAATTTATTCCTTATTCCCTCTTGGCAGCTAATGGTCTTTTCCAAGTTTAAACACAAAGTTTATCATAACAACAAAAATGCTACTAATATCACTGCTGTTTGCAACCATGTCCCAAGATCCCCTCTCAAAGTTTATCATAACAACAAAAATACTACTAATATCACTACTGTTTCCAACCATGTCCCATGATCCCCTCTCTTCCTCCCCACTCTGAAAAAAATGAGCTCCTATTTTTTCTGGGAGAGGGGGAGATTGATTGGGAAAAAAAAAAAAAGGAATATGTTCCATTTAAAATTTTGGTATATGGCATTTTCTAACTTAGGAATCCACAGTGTTCTTGGCCTATCATGACGTTGGGTAGCATTAACTATGTTTTGTGCTTCCAAATCACTTTTTGGTTTCTAAGAGTTTCTTGATACTCTTATAGCTTGCCTTCAATTTTGGTCCCTTGTTCTTTCTATGTGTCAAGGGCACAAGATTACCTTCCTTTTTTAGCGTTCTGTCTTGTCACCAGCCATTCCTACTTGGTGGCCACGTACTTGGAAAAAGGCTGCATGATCTTTCTGGCTCTACTCAATATCTAAGACATCCTGCTTCCTTTGCTCGCATCCCACAAACTACTTCCCTCATCCTATTTACTGCAGCAAATCTCTCCTTAGTGTGTTTATCTCCTTTTAAAACCCTACCTATCCTGAATTGTCTGTCATTGTCTGCCTTTAAAATCCTTCCTCTTTCTCTCCCTCTATTCTCTAAATAATGATGGGGCTAAGTTACACCCAAAGCTCACTTTACAAAATATTTCCTCAGTACTCTGCAGAAAACACCAGACAAAAATGCCATTTTAAAAGGTGTGTTTTTTCTTTTAGGATGTAAGCTCCTCAAGAGCAGGGACAATGTTTTCTGTATGTTCTATTGTGCCTAGTACACCGTAAATGCTCAATAAATATTGATGATGGGAGGTAGTGAGTCTTGATGATAAGGGTGAGAAATTGAAATCCCAAACACTGTTTTGTTGCTTGTTTTATTATGACTGCAGATTAAACTGGGGACTATTGGCCCTTTTGGATAATTGTCCCAAATATTACATTCAAATAAAAGTGCAATGGAGAAAAAAAATAGGAGACTTGGAATTAAAAGATTAAAATGTACTTCTGGCTCTGCTGAATCACTTTAGGAAAGTTGAATAATATCTCTTAGCCTATTTTTTAAATCTATAAATGGTTGCATTAACTGTATGTTTCCTAAAGTCTACATTAGCTCTAAAATTATTTTATCTCTTGCATGAAGTTATTATGCTCCAAATATTTAAGGGATTACAGGTTTAAGATAATATAAACATATATTGTGAAATGCTGGCCATTTATTAAAACGGGTGTAACGAAATCTGTTGTTACACTGGGGGCAGGGAGCAAGAAGGGGGTGGATATCATACTCAGTGAAAGCAGTGACATTGAATTAAACAGCAAGTTTTCCATTTGTTTACTTGATCAATTCAAAAAAATCTCTTAAAGGCATATGAAAAGGTCACTGCAAATCTCACATTTCTGCTATTCTGTTATGAAGAACCCACTGAAAATATTTTGAAATAGCCACTTCGCCTGTGGAAAGTTTACAGAGTAAATTGACAATATGTCTTCGCTGGCAGAGGCAACCCATGAACCTGCAACAAGCCAGTTTATCACTTTTTGTTTATTTAATTTTAGATAGATGTAGCTTGAAGTGTTTTTATTTTTAGTATGAATAATAAAACTGAGGGTGATAGGAATCTGTTTGGCTCTGAGCTACCACCACTGGAATTACCAGGACTTTAAAATTCTCTCTTGCAATGGGAGATTGCTGGGCCCTTACACAATCTTCTTGGGAGCCGTTAAAACGGTCCAATTAGAGCTGTTTATCGGTTTTCATTGTGACACCTCCTGACCTTATTCTTTCCTGCACCTCAAGCCTCTAGCACAGTAGTTATGCCCTGTCTTCAAATCCTAGTCATGCTGAACCCTGGGGCCTTGATGGCTATAGCACCCTATCCTACTTGACAGGAGAAGAAAGGGACAATTTTCTATCATTGCTGTCATTATTAATGACTTTCCTATGAGTTAGATTTACTGTTTTGTTTTTTTTTTCCATCTTTGGTGAACTGGGATCAACAGGTCATTGCATGTGGATCAGAAAACAATTGATTGTTACAACTAACTATATCTGTCCCACTAACAATCAGCTTTAGAGCTTTCTTCAAGTACCTTGCCGATCACTTTTCTGGATAAGTCTCTTTTGTCTCCTTATTTCTTTAGAGTCAGGATTCCTAGGTACTGGGTTCTTCTTCCTCAGCCTTAACATTTTCCACAGGGGTCCTCTGTACTAGCTTCCAAACAACCTGAATAGTGCTTGCTAGTGCCAGATTCTTGGAAATAGATATGCATATTAGCCACCATCCCACTCCACCTTGACCTCAGGAATCATGATCCTAGTAAGTCAGAACTTTCCATGTGCAACATGAACTTGTTATCAATCCCACAAGGACCAAGAAAATGGATTCTAATGATTTTTAAAAATGATATATTGACAAATTATAGTTGTATATATTTATGGGGTAAAAAGCAATGTAATGATTTTTGAATGCAATGTGGAATGTTTAAATAGAGCTAATTAACCTATTCATCACCTCAAATATTTGGCATTTTTTGTGATAAAAAACATTTGTGGTTTACTCTCTTAGCTATATTGAAATATGCAGTATTCAGTGATTAGCTATATTCACCACACTGTGCAATAGATCTCAAAAAACAAACAAACCACAACAACAAAAACCAAAAACAAACTCATTCTTCCTATCTAAGGCTTTGTACCCTTTGTTATCATCTCGCCAATCCTCCACCATCCAGTCTCAGGTAAACACCTCTTCCCTATTTGTTTCTATGAGTTCAATTGTTTTAGACTCCACACGTCAGTAAGAACATTCAGTATTTGTCTTTATGTGTTTAGCTTATTTCACTTAGCCTAATGTCCTCCAATTCCATCTATGTTGTCATAAATGACTCCAGGGATTTTTCATCTTCCTGTAAACGTTCAGAATTTTTCAAGCTTGGAAAACTATATAAAATATTTCTTTCCAGTTCCTTACTTTTCCCCCTTATCATTTCCTGGAGTTAAATACAACCTTCCTTTTGTTTACTCTCCACACCCAAGCCCCAATTTCTATATTGTGATGATGATGATAAAAATATTGATAAGTAGATGAATAGTTAAATAGATATGTGTGTATTTGATATAGGATAGATATATTTGATATGTATCTTGCTATAGCAAGAATGTCCTAGGGATATACAGATAAATGGAATCTTCAGATTTGCCCTGTTTGCATGTTGTGACAGGTACAACTGATAAGCCTATAGCCCCCTCTACTGGGAGGATTTTCCCAGATTTATCATATGCACCTCAAGCAGGTGGTCTTTGTAAACTTTCTTTGAGTACTCTTGATCATGCCCTAATTAACTTAAAATCCCACCACTGTTCTGATTTATAGGATGCTACATGGATCCAAGCGTCTAAAGTGCATGAACTCTTTTTCTCAATAAACTCCATTTTCACTCACTCTGAAGATTTGGCAATGGGTTCGAAGTCCATGTTCACCACAAACATACCTTTATTTATCTTTCTATCCCTCTTGAACATCTGATGTCACTAGCTCATGAGATTTCTTAGGGATAGCATCTCATTAATTGATTATTGGACATAATGTAGTAGGTGTCTGTCATGTACACCATAATAAGAAGATCTGTAGATACAGAGAAAGATGTGAGGTACCTTGTTTGGTATGTTTCCCTATTGACTTTTGCAAATACTAAAAAACAAACAAACAAACAAAAAAACAAAAAAAAAACCAATGCAACACATAGGGTAGATGACTTTTATAATTTGTGTTCTGAAACTACTTAATAGCTCCAAATAATACCTTTTTCTTAAAAAGAGGACATGAAGTTCCCCAAGCATACTCCCAGACCCTTAAGTCAACACAAGCTGACCAAGTATTGAGTATTGAGACTAAGTATTGAGAATGCTGTTCTTCTCTGAGGCTCTGACTTGTTACAGGAATGTGGTTTCTGCCAACTCTCCGAGGATGGAGAACTAAAATTCTGTCCATCATCCTCATAGGTTTGAGGTTCCCAAGAATGAGAGCAGTGCTATTCTGGGAGGCTTTTGGGTTGCAATGGAAGGAGCCCTGGGTGAGTTATGAGTGAGTTGGGGAATACTATCTTTAAAGAAGCATTATTTACTTCTCTCCTGGGGGTAGAAAAGTAGAAATGACAAATGGAAATTTTTTAAATGACAAATTTTAGGTTCCTTGGATCATATTAAATGAAAAATTTCAAAACTGTAGACTATGTGTATGTACCCAAATGCATACTTGTGCAATGACTTTAAAATTAAGTAGACAAAAAGGTACATGCAGAAATGGAAATTACAACAGTCACATGATATAAATTATGTCTTTTAAATATTCATTAGCAAAAATGATCTCAATCATCATTATCATTATCAATCATCATCATCATAGTTGACATTTATTGGTCATTCATTATGTTTAACTCTTCTCTGTTTCTTTGCAGGCAACAGCCAAGTTGGAAATAAGTTTGGGGTATTAGAGGTCTAACAAAGACAAAACCCACTGCTTTGGTATTGGGGAGCAAATTTTGTTTGTGTCATTAAGTTGATGATAGTACACAAGAAAATAAAAGCTCCCAATAAAAACATGGAGCTTCGCCGGGCATGGTGGCTCATGCCTGTAATCCCAGCACCTTGGGAGGCCAAGGCAGGCAGATAGCCTGAGGTCAGGAGTTCGAGACCAGCCTGGACAACATGGTGAAATCCCGTCTCTACTAAAAATACAAAAATTAGCCAGGCGTGGTGGCAGGCACCTGTAATCCCAGCTACTGGGAAGCCGAGGCAGGAGAATCGTTTGAACCCGCGAGGCGGAGGTTGCAGTGAGCTGAGATCGCGTCATTGCACTCTAGCCTGGGTGACAAGAGTGAGATTTCATCTCAAAAACAAAACAAAACAAACAAACAAAAAACATGGAGCTTGAGGTAGCTTTCAGCTCAGCTCAGTTATATGGGCTATGTAGATAGTATTGTTTGAAGTCTCTAGAAATAGGCTGGCAAAGACCATGTATAGAACAAAAGACAGAGTTTTAAGATAAACTTTTCCTTTCCTTCCCGCCTCCCTCCCTTGCTCCCTTCCCTCCTTTCTTCCCTTCTTTCTTTCCTCCCTTCCTCTGTTTTTTTTTTTCTTTTTATTTCCAAGAACAGCTATTTAAAATCTGTAGACCTTCTTTATGATCTTTGGTTGGTCCTTGTTTGGTTCTAGGATGGGCACCTCTTTAAACTCTATAGCATCAATCTGTTTGCTCTTGAATTGTTATGAACCAGGAGCCATATCTGAAAGCAAAAAGCCTTTTTGTTAATAACCCTCAAGAAATGCAGTATATTCAAAGAGACCAAGAATAAACTACTGTGAAGCTGGCTGTGTAGACAGCACGAAACAGATGGCATAAACATCTCCTTAGGAGTGGAAAATTAGTGTTAAATTATATACTGAATCAGGGCAGAGGTGTTTCAATGATTATCCTTCTCTAATTCTTTTTCAAATTAGATTTTCTTAAGTTATGGCCACTTCCTTTGGAACATCTAGGAAAGGCATACATTACACAGTGCCAGGACCAAAATACTAAAGCAGATCCCACCTCAGCCCTAAGCCTGAGGCTGTTTATATAGGGTACTAGCTCTTTCTGGCACACTGGCTCTTTTGATTATTAAAGTCAACTTTCAGGAAGAGTTCCAAAGGTAACTGTCATGAATGTGACAATGACAGAGAGCTGAAAGTTAATCTTTCCCACATCGCTTTTATTTGCTTCTTAACAGAACAATATTTTAACCAAAGGAATTGAAACTTCTATTCTGGAATTTCAAGTCTTTTTGGAGAGTTTGTAGGGGATGTATACAGATGGGGCATGAATTCCTTTTGAACCCCCTTTCTTACCCTTCCTCCTTTCCTACTGAATTCATATTATATAGACATCTATCAACAATGCAGACAAATAATTTGAATCCTGGTTCGGCCATTTGCTACAAATATGCTCTTGGGCAAATTACTGGTCCTGTCTCTGAACTTTCCTCATTTACAAAATATGTAAGGACTAAAGTAAGTAATATATAAGGTGTTATATCTGTCCCCTAATATTAATTCTTCATCACACATGATAATCTTTGTTTTCCAGAGATTGAGTGGTTCTTCTCTTTACTCCACAGTCAAAATTAAACCGTGCCAAACCACTTATTCATTCTCTCACTTCCATACACCAAAAGTTTGCAACCTCTCTTGCATTAAATTTTGCAAGAATTGCAAAATGATTAACATTCGGAATATTAGGCATGACTTTAAGTAGTAATAGCAGAAAAAGGAGGTCCTTATCATTCAAAGATTATCATTAAATTATGATATTTAAACTATAACTTTAACATATCATTTCAAGGGCTATTGCTAAGGTGGTTTGATAGGAGCAAAAAACTAGTTGAAAAGTCAGATGGAGGGATAAGGGAACTAGATAGAGGGATAAGGGAATAAAATAAGAAAATGACAAATACAGCAAAAGAGAGCTGAGGACCTTATGAGATGGTGAGGAATGAGGACAGAGCCGACCTACATGTGACATACCAAAATCATGTTTGGGCTTCTAGGTGGCAGGGAGCAGGCGGGGATGCTATGCATGGTGTTGAAGATAAGGACTTTCCCAACTGAAGAGACTATGAGAAAAATGAAAGGATGGACATCCTTTTTATACTTGTTTAGACTGTTCCAAAGGCTGGTCTTCCGGGCATTTCTGTCTCAATATATGCAAAAGCAAAACAAAGTGGCAGAGATAGTTACACATTTCGGTCTGGAAGTGCATTCCTGTCACAGAGCACCCATTGCTTTGATCCAGTATTGTTCTTCTTCTATTTTTTTCCCCCAAGAATCCAAGCAGATTACAATGATGAAGACTCTCCCTTGAGAAAGCCAGAAGGCAGGCATTTCTGCATGCTTGCTCTTTCGGTCGACCTTTGTTAGAGATGATTTGACATTTTCTCTACTTTCAAACCCCAAATTAAGTCTAGGCCTCTCATCAGTCTATTTTCAAAATCATGTCATCTTATTTTTCTTGCATGAAACACACAGATGGGTTTTTGTGATAAGGCACTCATTTCTAGCCTCTTTACACTTCTCCTTCTTGTATGCAGTCAAGGGCACATTAAAAAAATATCAGCAATTTGTATTGCAGATAATTCAGTCACTTGAATTTGTATTTTCTAATCTTTGGCATACAAAAGAAAAGATAACATGAAACAAGTTCTTTTATCATGGCAGGGTTTGCTTGGCATGCAATATATAGTTCATCTAATTGCTCATTCAGTAAAGAGTTGCTGGAGTAGGTTGGGGCAGCGGATAGACTGCAATGTTACTGTGTACTTTGCTCTAAGTGAAAATCAGAAAGGGGGATAATTAATTTTCTTAGGGTTGTGTTATCAATTACTGTGTTCTCTTTTCCTTTTTAGATAATAGCCATGGTGTTTGTACCAAATCATTTCAAGAGACTACGTGGCATGTGTAATGAACAGTATCTAGAAATGGAGAGGATCGACACAGTGCACGAGGCTCTTTATGGAGACAAGAGCTGCAATCTTTATTGTAAGAGACTTCCATTCTCGGGCACAGGAAGTTTCCAGAAGACTGAACCCATCTAATGTGCACTGGGTGGAGGAAATATGGTTTATATTAAAGAAGTGTCCCAGGTAAATACACAAACAGATGCATGAGTCTCAGAGGTATAGATCTGGCTACTGATTAGGATCAGATCATTGGCTGGAGTCTTATCTTCAGCATCAAGTGAACAATTGAGATTTTGCTGGGCTAGGTTCTCCTCCATACAAAAATTATCATCTTGGTGCCGGAATTTGGATTTGGGAATGGACAAAGGTCAATAGCTGTACATTATATATTCTGTGTCTTGCATCTGCAAGGAACAACTAACCATTTTCTAGAATCATAGGTAGTCCTAAGAAGTTAGAAGCAAAATTATACTGTCTTGATCATGACCTTACTTTGTATTTTCTCAAAATTTTCTAGCTACAGTTTCAACAACATACATTTATATTTGTTTGGCAATGGCTCCTACTACTTCCTCCAGGATTCCAGGGAGTTTGAGAGTAGATGCTTGCATCTTCCTAGTGTTCTGCTCATGTTAAGGACATATTAAATGCTTATAAAATGAGTGAACACATAAATGACTGCTAGCCCATAAAGCTCTTAAAAAGTACAGAAAAGGTCAGGTGTCTTTTGTAGAGTCAGCCAAGATCTCCTGCCTCGCTGACTGATTTTTCATCCAATAAACACATATTTGGTACCAGGAATAATGAGAGGGTAGTTTAACACATGGTGATCTCTTTGCTAAATACAGGGCACATTGGAAAGGGGTTATGGAGTAAATACAATGAAGAATAAGCATGCTTTCTGCTTTTAAGCAACCATAATCCAGTGAACTACACAAGGACATAAACAAAGAGTTAATAAATGTGCAAATTATTCTAACAGAAGTGTGTTTATGGTTCTCTATGAGTGGAGATGAGTCAGTCCAGGAGGTTTGGAAAGGTGCTAAGAGGAGGTAAAATAAGAGCTTTAGCCTTGACCTTCAAAGGGAAGCTAACTTGGCAGAAATGGAGATTTGGGGTAAGGAAACCAAATGGACAGACAGAGAGGCACAAAAGATCCAGTGTTCAGTTCCACGCCTTACACCATACCAAATGAATGAATGAATGAATATCTGTCTTGCATAGCACATTAACTTCCCAATGATCCTCTGCTGCATATGCACAAACATTAGAGAATTCTTTTCAGGGTGTTTCCCTATTACAGCCATTTGGCGATGTGAGAAATTACATTCAACAGCCCAGAAAACTACCCCCAGAGCTTTCATTAACATCTGTGTATCATCTCCTTGTGCTGGTAAATATCTCTATTCGTATCTCCAGTCACTCTGCCCCAGTTTTAATGCTGGCAAATAAAACTCAAGCACTCATCAGAAAATAAAATATTTACCCAGCACACTACCTCAAACAAAGTTACTGTATTGGTGCACCATTTTAATAACCATTGAGCACATGAATTTAATGAGATAAAGGATGTATTTTATCCAGAACATAAAGATGTACTGATGGTGATCAGAGGAAATGTGGGAGCCACTTCTCCAGCTAAGGTCTCCCCATTAGGAAGGGGAGAGCATCACAGTAAAGTGGGTATGAGCTGCTGGGGCATTTGATTATTCTTTTTTCTTCCTTTCTACGCATCAGCTGTGTCTACTTTTAGATAATCTGGCAAAAACCTTATTACTATGTACTGGACCCTGAAGGAGACCTGGAAAGTGATCCAGAAAAAAGAGGAGCTATGAGATCTCTGTGCTTTTTCAACGTATACAACCTACTATCTGCTACCTCTGAAGCCAGAGTGGACATTGAAGAAGAATAAGATTATTTTAAAATTTATTTTGTGCTTTAATTCAGAGGAGAAGAAAAAGGCTACAACAACTTTATATTCCTGTTATTACTGTGATTCTAAGTGCTCTGGCTTAGTGGGAATTTGAGGCTCTCTATGAAAAGGGTCCTGGCCATTCCAGCATCTGCTCTTGTCTTTGAACTCTATTTGCATTTTCCCAATTAAGCCACATGGCTTTAAAATTTTATGCTTTTGTGTATGCTGTTCTCTCCTGAAAGACTCCTATGCATCCTGTAAAACCCATCTCCAAACCTAAATCCTAGAGACAGAGAAGAAACTGAATCCCTCTACCACCCTTATGGAGTATCGTTGCTACTGGTATGCATGGTATATGAGGACAGGGAAAGTGTTTGCCTTGCGAATTACCCCAACTCCTGCATTCAGAACAGCTCTTTTCATAGAATAAATGCTCAACAAATATTTGTGGAATTAATAAATAATCAATGCTGGAATTTATTCAAAACATGGAGATTTTAAGCTTGCTTTTGTGAATAAGCTCCCTTACCCTCCTTGGCCTGGCTTAGATCATATTCAGACGGATGAATGTTTGGTGGAGTTCTCCAAACACTCCCTGATTTATTCTCAGCTCCCTGATTTATTAAGCTTGCACCAACTCAGACGGCTGAGCTCTCCCCACCCTCCACTGCATACATATTGCTAAGTCCCAGGAGAACTGTATTACACATACCACCTGCCTCCCACTCCCCTCCCTGTATTCATGGTTTTTAGTAATATTAGTGAGAAGAAATGTTGCTGCCTTCAAAATGGTGAGTAAAAGTGCCAAGCCAGTGTATGATATGCAGAGGTCTTCCACCTGCCACATAAACAACAAGAACAAATAATAGAAGTAAAAGGTACGTCTCCTCCAGAACAAGTGCTCACTGAGTATGTATCCTGCAAAGGAGAGCAAGGCGACTGACTACGTAGGACCCACCATACGCCCGTGTGATCCAGCTCAGCAGAGGGATGAAAGGAAGGAGGGAGGCCTGGGGCTGTAGGAAAAGATTTCTGGAGAAGGAACATGGGACAGAGTTAGTCTTAAAAAGAAAGGAAAGCCTCAGATGCATAAACAAAGTGGGAGAACTCCAGGTAGGGGCTGAGTCTGTGAGTATGCTCTGCAGACAGATAGGCAGACAGGCACAGTTTGTCCCTAGGAGATGGGTAGGTCACATGGTCCTTGCTGCAGAGCCATAGGAGACAAAGTTAGAGGGAGAGACCAGAACTGGTAGGCATTGAATGCTGGAGTAAACAGTTTGGACTCCACCTAACACAAGTTAGACACCATTTTCATTTGCTCTCTGAAGCCCCTGTGCTCTAAGACGGACTCTCAGTTGTGCTGACAAACATTTCAAGATAGAGCCTCAGAGAATATATTCTCAGTTGCTTTTCCTCCAAGTCTGAGTCCTTTGCAGCATCCCTCCCCAGCGGTCCCAGGAGGCGAGTATCCTCACTCATTTAGGGACAAATACCAGTAGCTGCTGTAGGTGATACTTTCTCTTTATTAGCAAAGCCAATTTCCAGTGCTGAGTACCTAGAGGCACCCTGTGGTTTTCCTGTGTTTCTTTTACTGTCAAGCACAGAGATGACGGTGGCAGTTCTGGCCTGGATCCTGAGAAGAGTGACTGTATTTTAAGTTCCATTTGGATGCAAAGAGACAAGGAGGCAGATTTTTTTTTTTTTTTCATTCTGAAGTTATTGATAGGAAAACCTCACCGGCTCTGCTGAAGCTGGGGTAATGTTTTCTAAAATTGTGAAATTCTGAGCTGATGCCAGTGTCCACAGAATCCTGTATGCTAATTTATGGCGGAGCTAGAAAGTGCAATTTTGAAATGCATTTTCAAATCTGTGGTGTTGAGTGAAACATTATTAAGTGTGTATTATTACCTCAGTAGATATCAGTGATGGTTTAACTATCAGAAAATTTCACAGCATATGTAATATTATCAAAATGAATCAATACCTTAACCTCGAGGCTGATTCCTCAATTACTGTAACTACCAGTTGCTATTTTGAATGCTTTTTACACTCTGCTCCCCCTTTAGACTGTCCACGCTGCCCATGTGAATGCAACTGAGAGCACAAATAAATTGAGCATGAACAATTAGACTATTCAGCTTTGGGTGATCTAAAGAGAGATGTGAACTACCATTACATGGCATAGTGATTTTGAATCTCTGGGCTGAGGCATGACTCCGGCTTACTGAATCTCTTAGTCCTGCCAGGAGTAGAAGCTGGGATTTTTAAAGACCTGAAGCAATTCTAAAGCATCTGATGTTTTCAAATGGTAATGAAGAGTTTGGCCAAGATGCTTTACATAGCATCTAACAGAGCTATTATCAGCTATGATGTTACTCAGTGGGGCTGCCATTTAAAACTGCTTTTTTAGGGCAGAGAAGATCTAGCTTTGAATGGTGATTGAAGGACACTAAGCTTCTGCCACTGCTGGGAGAGGTCTAATTTTATACTGTAGTGTAGGGACATGGCTCTAGCCAGAGGACCTTGTGCGATTAAACATGGTTGGGGAAGACACAAGACCACTCTGCTTTGCCTTCTTTTTTGCTGTAGCCTGAAGCCAGTTTGCTGCCCTTGGGGAGGAGATAAAATCTGAGTGGCAAAATAACTGAGCTCCAGAAAACAAAGAAATAAATCTGGCAGTTTTCAGTGATCCTGCAAAGCAAAACAAATCAGGGATACCTCACTGACTAATAACCAAAGGTGTCAATAGCTTTTACTCACCCACTATCACTAAGTCCACATTTTCTGGCAAGTCGCAAAGCAACTGGGTGCTTGCAATATAATCCAGGCTGGGGAAAAGAAAATTGCATCAATTATAATTAACCTACTGTAGATAAAGACTAGTGTTTTTGGTTTTGCTCTTCTCATGAGATTCCTAAGGTAATGGAAACCTAGGGAAATAACAGTGTTTGCTGGGCCCAGGTTAGTGGCATAAATCTAAATGTCAAGCAAAGTTGGGCAGGTAAGTGAATTAGTAGAGAGCAGGATTTGTCAAACTCTAATATTCATATGAATCACCTGGGATCTTATTAAAACTCAGATTGCTGGGCCTCTTCCCTGGATATTCTGATTGAATTGTTTGGAGTGGGGCCAGTGAATTTGCATTTCTTTTTTTCTTTTTTTTTTTTTTTCTTTTTTTTGGTGGGGGTGACGGAGTCTCGCTTTGTTGCCAGCATAGGGTGCAGTGGCATGATCTCGGCTCATTGCAACCTCCTCCTCCCAGGTTCAAGCAATTCTCCTGCCTCAGCCTCCCGAGTAGTGGGGACTACAGGTGTGCACCACCACACCCAGCTAATTTTTGTATTTTTAATAGAGACGGGGTTTCACCATGTTGGCCAGGATGGTCTCAATCTCCTGACCTCATGATCCATCTGCCTCGGCCTCCCAAAGTGCTAGGATTACAGGCGTGAGCCACGGCACCCCGCCCTGAATTTGCATTTGTAATAAACTTCCAGGGGATGCTGACCTGCGGCTCTGTGAGCTACACTGTGAGTAACACAGGAAGGTGAACAGGGCTAAGAAGATGCTATATTGAAGGGTCTGCTTCATTAAAGGGAAGTGGAAGTGACTTAATTTCAGCCAGTTTCTATGCAAGGACAGAGGCCTACTATTATTGCAAATCATCTGAATTTTGGTGAAATTTTTAGTTGCAAGAAGCCAATTTGCTATTTTTGCTTAAAATTCTGAGACCCATCTGTCAGATAGATGTGGTCAGTAGGCCACCAGTTTAAGACAGCAGGCCTTGTTATGATTACTGCAAGAGGAGAGTGGGCATTATTTAAGGGAGTGTTGTGAAATGTAAATTATAAAATAATAAAAAGCAAAATTCTCAAAGTGTGGAGAAAAATATAAACTTTCACCAACTGATTCCTATACTTTGATCTCTAAGAGGCTCTTTCAAAACCTCAAGTAAGACAAAATGCGCAGTATTCTTTTCTAAAGAATGAACATGGCCATTCATACAATATGTGAACAAGGAAATTGTGCATTAGACATTTCCTGTGTGTATCTTAATTAATTACCCTGAACTGAGACCTGTGCTTATTATGGGCATGAATGCCTCTATGGGGGATGTTGGCAAATAATGTTTTGTTTTGTTTATTTCTGTCGACAGCAAGGCCAATTAGTACATCTGTGCTGTATCAGGAAAATGTGAGCTGAAATGAGAGTGACATTCAGAAAAGATTTCTTTTCAAGCTCTATGTCTTTAGGAAGCCTCCGTGCAGTGACCTTATACTTGGAATTCAGCTTTCAGCTGGTATATCCAGCATTAAAGGTGACAGGGAAAATAAAAGTCTTCCTTCCAAAGATTGTGTGTGCCTTTGGCAAAGGTTATAGATGTGATGCCTTCGAACATCCTTCTTCATGATGGCTCTGTCGCTGGAAATGGGCAGAGAAGAGAAAAAATCCGCAGCAAGCTAAAGCTGTTTTCAAAGTAATGATTGTCAAATCCTGTATCTCTTGAATGCAGAACAAGTGTGGGTTTCATATTTACATCTAAATATCTGGATTGCTTATCATTTTGTTTCCTTCCTCTTCTTTCTTGTCATATTTATGTAGATATAGGATTAAAAAAAAAACCCAGTGTGAAAAAAAAAGAGCAAAATACCCCAGCCTCACAATAACAAATTTTTGAGATTAGAAGCAACTCATTAACTTACGCTGGTCCTGGACTTTTTCCCCGGCTCACCTTGTTTTTTGGCCAGGGATAAGAGAAGGCAGGAGCGTAACATGTGCCCTTTCAGTCCACTGTCACTGCCTGAAGGGATCCAGATGCTTCTAAACATGGCTGATTACAGGTCATTGTCATTATTTTCGGCAATTATTCATTCACTGCCCAGGGTAGGCCGGGAATTGGAGGCAGAGACAAGAAGTGACAAAAATGCACTTTCGGATTTACAGTCCTTCAGATTGATTTGTTATGCACCAACACTCCTCTCTGATTGCTCAGGTCATTTCAAGCTTTTGGCATATTCACAGTGCTCCCATCTACCCGTTAGAACCCCACTGAGGCCAGACAAGGTGGCTCATACCTGTAATCTCGGTGCTTTGAGAGGCCAAAGTTGGAGAACTGCTTGAGCCCAGAAGTTCAAGACCAGCCTGGGTGACATAGTGAGACCCCATCTCTACAAAAATAAAATTAGCTAGGTGTATGCACCTATAGTCCTAGCTACTTGGGAGACTGAGGCAGGAGGATTGCTTGAGACCAGGAGTTGGGGGTTACAGTGAGCTATGATTGTGCCAGTGTACCCCAGTCTTGGCAATAGAGCAAAATCCTGTCAAAAGAAAGAAAAAGAAAGAAAAGAAAGAAAGAAAGAAAGAAAGAAAGAAAGAAAGAAAGAAAGGAAGGAAGGAAGGAAGGAAGGAGGAAGGAAGGAAGGAAGAAGGGAGGGAGGAAGGAAGGAGGAAGGAAAGAAAGGGAGAAAGAACTCTACTGACCAACTCAAATTATTTCTATTCTTTGAAGATTTTCATGGCTACCTAGGCTAATGTTCTTGTATTATATTAGTAATATAATATTTCCTATATTGTATTTCTTGTAATATATGTCAATCATTCAGTGGAATACACATTGGAGTGAGACCATTGTGGGTTCCATTCCTGACACTCCTGCTACTAATGACTTGTATGCTGTTGGACAAGCTTCATCACATTTACCAGCACATTTCTCATGTTCTGTTGTCAATTTAGAATCATTACCAGCCCCTTTTACATTGTCTTCTGTATAGAAGGGGGAAAATCTGTAACAACAATACCCAGAAACATTTTCCCTATATGGTCCTAAGATCGATTCCATTATGTTTGTGAGATTTAAACATTGGATGAGAAGGAGAGCACTTCTTCTCTGGTGGTGGTTGCAGGCAGAAACATGGGCAGATAAGAATGTCATAACCATGACCTAGGGTACCTGGAGAAGTACCCACACAGGTGACACAGAGAGTGAAAATCCCTGACTGCTCTTTCTTGTGATTGTTGTTGTGTGAATCTTTCCCTGGACGAACACCTTTAATTCCTGCTTTAGTGCCACAGGTGATGAGATCCTGTGCACAGGTTTCTTGATTTTGGAATTCCACTAGAAGCTTCTCTGATTTTCAGTTCCCTTATCCAGGAAGAGATCCCAACAATCGTGCAAGCCTCTAGTTCCTGTATAAAAAGAGTTTTACTTGGGCTAGTTGGAGAGTCTTTGGTTTTCTTGACCAAACCATGAAGGATACAAAGTCTCAATCCCTCATTAGCAAAACAGAGATTAAAAACATACTCACCCAATAAGGTTATTGTGAGCGTAAATGCCTGGCATGATATCTGCCACTCAATAATTCCTAAATGCCTTCTTGAATTAATAGTGCAAAGCACGTGGGCCAACACTCTAGCACTTGGCTCACAGACTTCGTTAATTAATGCAGTGCCCAGCCCTGTTCTATGTTCATATGTTCATATGTTCATATGTTCATGAATACATATGTACTGATGGAGTGGTTCTTGAGTCTGGGCTGGCTAATTTCTATCATATCTGCTACCATGTTTCATGTCATAGGTGCAGAGCCCTTGGGGAGTCCGCCAACCACTCACTTGTAAAGTATCTTGATAAGGCTACAATTTGGGATTAAATCCTCCCAAATAACAACTAATAATACCATGTTTCCTAAAATCAGCAGCAGTGATATTTCACTGTCTTCTCGCCTTTTTTCTAAAATAAAATGTGGGTTATGACTATAGACTTAAGCTGTGTACAGGTGAAAGCAGTAGGTCTCAAGATCAGTTTCGATGTGGTGGTGGCCTTTTGGATGCCTACAGGTATCATTTCATCATTCTATTCATTAGTCAATAAAGAGAACAATAGAAATAAATTTTGTTACTTCTTATTTGTATATAAAGTGCAGTGATTCTTTTGCACTCTCCATAAATGTAACAGCTGTGATTTGTACTGACATTTTTAAAAGCATCTGCATTTAGAGGTTATTGATGCGGCACACTAACTCCTAGGTGATGTGAATTCTAGAAGCCAAACAAGACAAGTATGGGATACCAAGCAAGACACCATCCTTTTGGAAGAACACTTTTTGGCTTGTTTGCCCCCTTTAAGCTGGGGTAGTCCCTCTGGATTAAGCTCTCTGCAGGAGAGCTATACTTTATTTCCTGATGCAGGTGTCTTGTTTAACCTTCATGCACTTTCCCCAAAGACACATCCCCTCTGGTCAGCAACGTTCTATTTCTGCTAAAACTCAGTCTCCAGAGTCATAATGACTTGGCTCAAACACTGTCTTTACCTGTTAGCAGCTGTGTGACATTAGGCAAATTAACCGAATCTCTCTGTGCCTAGGTTCTTTTCTGCAATAAAGAGAATGTGAGAATAATAATAGCAACTGAGTCAGAGAACTGAGAAGAATAGAAAGGATATATATGTAAAGTCTTTAACATCATCGTTTACATAAAAAGCACTCAAAAGTTGTTAGCTTCTATTATTATGGTAGGCAATACCTACATAAAATAGCTTACATTTTGGGGAGAACTCTTGCCATATTCTAGTAACTTCGCTAATCACGTAGAAAAATAAAATGTGAGTAAGATGTGGTGTTTCTCTCTTGTCTCAGGAAGCTCACATCCAGTGGGCAGATACGAACCACATGTAAAAACTCAAAATACAAGGAAATAAACAAACAAACAAACAATCTGTGTGCTTTAAATTTTAGAAGGGAGGCAGAAATTTGAGTGGGTGTTAGGGACAGGTGGAGGAAAGTCAACAGAGGACCTCCAAGTAGACTGGAAGTTCCCAATAGGGTCAAGTCTCTGAGTTACCACAAGGTACAGTAGCAGATAGTGGAGAAAGAGGCGCCAAATGTTCAAGTCTTACTGGGGAAAAGGGTAAGAAAAGCATAGCTTAACTCAAGAGGTAATATGCCTAGGAGATAACTGTTAGTTTTTACTGTGGTTAACTCAACTAGAGAGATTGAGCATCATGCTGCTTTGAAATAAAGTGCTAAGAACAAGAAAATTAAAAGGACCTTGCTGCTGTAGTTGTCCTTCTTTGCAACTTAACAGTCAAGCTAAACAACTTAATAGATTTGAGCTCTTGTTCTCTCTTCCTTCTTTCCAATGAACAATTATTTCCTTCCTTGTTCTGGAACAGGCCCCATATGAAGAACAAAATACTACAGGGGAGGTGTATGAATAAAACAATGAATAATCAGGGGGTGAGTGCAAACCCTCAATGACCAGAGATCTAGCAGAAAGGTAATAGGGAAAAGAGGCAATGATAAATGCCCTGTGTGTATGTGTACATACAATCAGCCCTGGTAAAAACATCACTATACACAAATTGCATGGTTTACAACTTGAGTATGCTGACTGAAAAAGCATAGGTCCAAATAATTAGGATTTCGGAGCTCTTCATTCATCTAAAATACAGTGGGCATCAGTTATGTATCAACATAGTGCTTGGCACCAAATGAATATTCAATGAAATTTGTTTACTTCTCCATTTTTGTCACGGAGTCTAAGTACTTTGTACATTATCTCATTGAAGTTCTCACACCTATCCTATGAAGTAGGCACTATATCTAGCTCTGTTTTACAGATGAGGAAATAAAAAGTTGAGGAGAGTAAATAGCTTGCTCAACAGTACACAGCTATTAAGTGAAAGAGCAAATATTTGAGTCCAGACAATTGAAACCAGAGCTCAAGATATTACTGTGGTGTTCCGTATATGGCCTCCTATGATCTCTGTGCTTTAGGGCCAACAGCTGTGGATGAGACAGACATGCAGAATATGTTGTATGCATTTAATAAATGCCATATTACAGGTATGTAGAAGGGTCTGTCAGAGAACACAAGAAGAAAATAGTAAATTTCTGAGCAAGGTAAGAAAGGTTTCCCTGAAGCAGTAACACTACAACTGAAGTGTAGGGCTGGATAGTTCTTGGCAGCTGTGGGTGTTAGGCAGGAGTATGATGTTAGGAAAATAGAGAAAACATCAAGAGGATGTGCTCATGCATCCTTGGGAGCAGGCTCAGTCAACATCTATCAAAACATAAATGGGCCATGACTTTTGTATCTGTAATTTCACTACTAACTGCAAAAGACTAAAAAAATGCACAAAAATGCTTATCTGAAATATTGTTTTGAAGTAGGGAAAATAAATTATCTAAATGTTCAACAACATAACATATACAAAGTAATTCTCTTCCGTCATTAAAAGTGAAGATGAATGTCCATCTACAACAGATCACTTAGTAGCAAGGATGAGTAAAGATAAACTCATATATAAAAAATAGAATGCAAATACGCTATTAGCATAGAGAAAAGCCTGGAAGGATTTCCCTAAAATGTGAAGAGGAGGTAGTTAAATTGGGGGTGTTTTAGTTTTCCCTTTCACTTTGTTTGGATGGCTTGCATTTTGACAATGACATGAATCCCAAAACATTCAGTTATAAAAGAAAAAAGCAAAGCAAAACAATAAGCTTAGGAGACCAGCAACATAAATATTAAGCAAATGAATTACAGAATAGGTCTGTTGGGATGAGGCATAGAAAGAGGTAAAAAGCAAAAGGAAAAAAGTATCAAGGTGCCTAATATGTCTCTTTCTGTACATATAACTGATGACTTTGGTGATGACGTAATTTAAGGAAGTAGAAAGTTTCAAAGCTAAGAAAGATTATCTGTTTAGGATATTACCAAACTGCCATCCCACAGACTTTTAATTCTTTTACTCAGGGCTACCCTCTGTGTGCCTCGTCTTACAGAGGACTATAAATGTGCAGATATATTGATCCTCTTAGCCTTTGGGGCAACATATAGGGCTTTGGACAGCAGAGCTCCTGGGCCAGGAAGCACAGGCGTTGGATTGTCGCATCTGTTGACTCCAACAAGCCATTACAATATTTTGTTCTATGTGAGTTGTGAGGTGAATAACGATTGGGACCACTGACTAAAGAGACCATTTTATGTGCCCCATTGCTTTGTGAAAAGTGTAACTGGAACCCAGAGAAGTTTAAAGACTTTCCCAAAGTTATGTAGCTCATTAGATAAGTAGGCCAGTCACTTACTCAAGTAGAAATAAGAATATTTACAAAAAAAAAAAAAACACAAAAAGAAAACTTTGAATCCCAATCAAAATGGAAGATCACAGAACAAAAGAACTGAACTCCAGGAATTACATAAGCATGACTTGTTTTACTTCACTTCACAGAAAATGCATTTTTTTTTTTTACAAATTGATGGTGCATGGCAATCCTGCATCTTGCAATTCTTTTTTTTTTTTTTTTTTTTTTTTTTTTGGAAATGGAGTCTTGCTCCTGTCACCCAGGCTGGAGTGCAATGGCATGATCTTGGCTCACTGCAACCTCTGCCTCCTGGGTTCAAGCGATTCTCCTGCCTCAGCCTCCCGAGTAGCTGGGATTACAGGTGCAAGCCACTATGCCTGGCTCAATTTTGTATTTTTAGTAGAGACAGGGTTTCGCCATGGTGGCCAGGCTGGTCTTGAACTCCTGACCTCAGGTGATCCGCCCACCTCGGGCTCCCAAACTGCTGGGATTGCAGGTGTGAGCCACCACACCCAGCCTGCATCTTGCAATTCTACTGGTGCTACATTCTACTAGTGCTGCATTCCACTAGTGCAATTCTACTAGTGCTTGCAATTCTACTAGTGCTACATTCCACCAGCATGTGCCCACTTTGTGGCTATGTGTCACATATCGGTAATTCTCACAATATTTCAAATATTTTCATAATGATTATATCTGTTATAGTGATCTGTGATCAGTGGTCTTTTATGTTACTATCATAATTATTTTGGGGCACCACAAACCTCACACATGTAAGATGACAAATTTAATTAATCAATGTTGTATGTGTTCTGACTGCTCCATTGACCAGCTGTGTTCTGTCTCTCTCCCTCTCTTTGGGCCATCTTGTTCTCTGAGACACAACTATATTGAAATTAGGCCAATTAATATCCCTTCAAATGGCCTCTAGGTGTTCAAGTGAAGGAAGAGCCACACATCTCTCACTTTAAATCAAAAGCTAGACATGATTAAGCTTAGTGAGCAAGGCATGTCAAAAGCCAAGGCAGGCTGAAAGCTAGGCCTCTTGCACCACACAGTTTGCCAAGTTCTGAATGCAAAGGAAAAGTTCTTGGAGGAATTTAAAAGTGGTACTCCAGGGAACACACAATAGTAAGAAGGTGTAACAGCCTTATAGGTGCTATGGAGAAAGTTGTAGTGGTCTGGATGGAAGATCAAACCAGCCAGAACATTTCCTTAAGCTACAGCACAATTCGGAGCAAGGGGTGCTGACTCTCTTCAATTCTGTGAAGGCTGAGAGAGCTGAGAAAGCATCACAAGAAAAGTTTGAAGCTAGCAGAGGTTGGTTCATCAATTTAAGGAAAGATGTCTTCTCTATATACAACATAAAAGTGCAAAGTGAAGCAACAAGTGCTGAGGGAGAAGCCACAGCATATTATCCAGATCTAAGATAACTGATGAAAGTGACTGAACAAAACAAGAGATTTTCAATGTAGATGAAACAGCATTCTATTAAAAAAATAAATAAAAGATGCCATCTAGGATTTCATAGCCAGAAAGGAGAAGTCAATGCCGGGCTTCAAAGGACAGGCTGATGATCTTGGTCAGGGCCAACGCAACCGGTGATTTTTAAGTTGAAGCCAACGTTCATTTACCATTGCAAAAATTCTAGGGCTCTTAAGAATTATGATATATTTATTCTGTCTGTGCTCCTGAAAAGAAGCAACTAAGTCTGCATGACAGCATATCTGTCTACAGCATGCTTTACTGAATATTTTAAAGCCATTGTTGAGAACTACTGCTCAGGAAAAAGACTCCTTTCAAAATATTACTGTTCACTGACAACACACCCAGTCACCCAAGAGCTCTGATGGAGATATACAAGAAAATTAATGTTGCTTTTATACCCGATAACACAGCATCCATTCTGCAGCCCATCAATCAAGAAGCAATTTCAACTTTCAAGTCTTATTATTGAAGAAGTACGTTTTATAAAGTTACAGCTGCTATAGATAATGATTCTTCTGATGGACCTGGGCAAAGTAAACTGAAAACCTTTTGGAAAGGATTCAACATTCTAGATGCCATTAAGGACATTTGTGATTCATGGGAAAAGGTCAACATATTGACATAATAAGAGTTTGAAAGAGGTTGATTCCAGCCTTCATGTATCACTTGGAGGGGTCTAAGACTTCAGTGAAGAAAGTAACTGCAGATGTGGTGGAAACAGCAAGAGAACTAGGATTAAAAGTGGAAGCTGAAGATGTGACCGAATTGTTGCAATCTCATGATAAAATTTGAACAGATGAGGAGTTGCTTTTATGGAAGAGCAAAGAAAGTATTTTCTTGAGATGGAATCCACTCCTGGTAAAAATCCTGTGAACATTGTTGAAATGACAAAGGATTTAGCATATTACATAAATTGGGTGAGAGGAGGGTAAGGAATGAAATACCACCCTATTGGGTAGAATGTACACTCTTTGGGTGATGGGTACACTAAAAGCCCAGATTTCACCATTATGCAATATAGTTATTTAACGTAACCACACTTGTACCCCTAAATCCATAAAAATAAAAAAAAATTCAAACATTAATAAATAAATAAGAAGTGCATCAAAAAAAGAATATTACATAAACTTAGTTGACAAAGCAGTGACAGGGTTTAAGAGAATTGGCTTTAATTTTGAAAGAATTTCTACTGTGGGTAAAATGCTATCAAACAGCATCACATGTACAAAGAAATCTTTTGTAAAAGGAAGAGTCAATTGGTAAACTTTATTGTTGTCATATTTTAAGAAATTGCCACAGCCACCCAAAACTCTAGCACCATCTTATTCAGTCAGCAGCAATCAACATTGAGGCAAGACCCTCCACCAGCAAAAATATTTTACAACTCATTGAAGGCTCAGATGATTGTTAGCATTTTTTAGCAATAAAATATTTTTGAAGTATGTAGTTTATAGATATAATGCTACTGCATATTTAGGCTACAGTATAGCACAAATATAACTTTTATATTTACTAGGAAAATAAAATAATGTGTAACTTGCTTTATTGTAATTTTTGCTTTATTGCAGTAATCTGGAACTGAATCCACAATATCTCCAAAGTATGCCTACATTTTGACAAAGTAAGTCACCTGACTTTCAAGAGCTCTGCTCATTTGAGTATCTGACATTGAATTAGGAATAAAATTATCAGCCCGTATCAAGTAAATAGTTGGGAATTCAAAATGTTAGTGTAGTTCACACAATATGGTACTTTTTGCTTGTTTTCATCTAGTCTTGTTTTAACAGTCTGTCTGTAAAAAAACCTTAGTCTTTATGGTGTTGTCTTCTGCTGGAAAGTGCAGTTCCACTATCAATTAGTTACGATACTTATGCTCATGTTTGTCTCAAGACAGTGCTGAGGCGTTACTTTCATGATAACCTTACTTGGGGCATAGCTGTCAGTCACTGATGTGGATTAGATGGCTCAGAGCTGAGGCAATTTGTGAGATGAAGAGCTCACTCTGAGCAGCTGCTGGTGTGTCTGACTGAGGCTAACCCTCATTTTCTACTCTATGATATATTCATCCTCCACATCTTAGGCCTTTCAAATCCAGGCTCCTCAAAATCTTTATTAAAGTCGAACTCAACATTGGCCCTATATCTCCCTCTTCATCCCACGATTTATGTGTCTTCTCATTCCTATATCCTGGATCGCTGGGCTGCGTGTTTGCCTAGTGTTCCTTTGACTAGGCAGGTGAAGAAATAGGTAAATGGCTCTTTTGGCAGGCTGACTAGTAGCCCTCAAGATGTTCACATCTTAATGCCTGGAGCCCGTGAATGTTCACTTCTATCACAAAAGGAACATGCAGATGTGATTAAATGACAGATCTTCAGAGGGGCAGATTTTTCTGGATTGTCTGGGTGGGCCGAAATGTCTTCATAAGAGGAAGGCAGAAAAATATTTGGTTACAGAAAAGAAAGCAGAAGATAAAATGATGGAACAAAGAGGTTGGAGTGATGCAAGGAAGAGGTCATGGCCAAGAAATGCAGGCAGCCTTCAGAAGTGAGACAAAATAAGAAAGCAGGTTCTCCCCAGACCCCCAACCCCAAAGAAGCCAGCCCTGCCAACAATTTTGCTTTACCCAGTGAACCTGATTTCAGACTTCTGGCCTCCAGAACTGTCAAAGAATAAATGTGGGTTCTTTTAAACCACTAGGTGTGTGGTCCTTTTTACAGCAGCCGTGAGAAACCAAGGTAATTCGTTTGTGGAATTGTCCCTCCTGTTTCACCTCCATGCAGTTCCAAGCTACCAGAAAAGTTAATTGATGGTTTATTTCCATCTGCTATTGATATCACATCTTTATTTTTCTTTACTTTATCATCTTCTGTTTTGGAGATGAGAAAGTTCAGCTTTAGAAATTCAATGTAATTTTCTCAAGGGAGTATCATTAGAAAGTAATAGAGTATCTGGTGGAATCCCTCTCTCCAGGCTTCCAAAGCTGACAGTCTTTCTAATACACTGAGCCCTTTCCCTGAATTTTAGCTTTCTTTTCTCCCTGTGTGATGAACAGAAAGCAGGGTGTCACTCTCCTTTTGAGTGTATATTTTATTGAATAAAATTTCAATATAGCCACGACTCTAATAATAATGGGATGTTAACTTACAAATGTTTGGAGACTTCTTCAAACTTTTTTGTGTCCCACTCCCTTTCAATTCTTGTGGATGAAAACAGAATCAAAGAGACAAAAATATCAACTTAAAAATTATTTCACTATGGGACTCTAAGGTCCCCGGGAACTGGATGACTAAAAGAATCTTTCCCAAGGTTTGGGTCAGTGCCATATTTTTTTACCATTTACATATATGTGGGCACATTCCTATGGTTTACATTGACTTGCTTTTCTCTTTCTAGGCTTTCTGTTTCCATTTTAGGTACAAAAATCCTATCCTTCTGATTCTTCCTCTTTCGTGTCCGGCCCCAGAGTAATGTTGCTATAAATCTATTATCAGTATCAATGATGATGATGATGTGTGATACTTATTAAATGCTTCCCATGTGCTAGATCCAGTGCTAAGCATTCTAGCATGAACACTTTTCATACTTATAACAACTCTATGACTTAGGTACTTCTGTTCCTGTTCAGGATTCTAAAACAAATAAGTTACTTGCTTAAAGTCCCAAAGCTAGCAAATAGCAGGACCAACAGTTGATCAAATTCTATCTCATGGGTGTGATGGCACATGCCTGTAATCACAGCTACTCAGGAGGCTGAGGCGGGAGGATCACCTGAGCTCAGGAGTTCGAGGCTGCAGTGAGTTAGGATGACATCACTGCACTTCAATCTGGGTGACAGAGCGAGACTCTTAATAAAAAGTATCTTATGTTAAAACTCATGCCTTTCTCTGTGCTTTCTTTGAGAACTACTCTCCTCATCCATCTCTAGGAAATCTTGCCTCCCAGCCATTCTGTTGCTGCATAACACTCATGTGGCTCTGTGGCTATCTAGAAACTCTGCCGTAATTCCCTATCTGGCCCACCCTTTTGGGCAGAGTCAGATACTTTCAAACCATCTCAACATTTTCTTCCTCATTCTTTCTGTCCCTAAGTCCACCAGCACTTCTGTTTTTTCAGAGCAGCTGGCCTACAGCAGCCATTCAAAAGAATAAAAACCTGATCACCCTCAATCCCACCCATGTGAGAACCTTTCCTGAGAAACTATGAAGAGTCAGACTTGACAGCAATAGAAAGTAGAGTCAGAGCTAACAGTAGTAGAAATTCAGAGTGGGTTTCACACAAACAGAGTAGCAACTGGTAACACTCCCATCTATTTTTTAATGTTTGCTTTACTTTGCATAATCTCTCTAAGCACTTCACCACATGGCCTACTTTTTTAACAGGGTAACCCACTCCCTTCCTCAGTCTCCACCAAAGGTTAGGACTCACTGGATTAAACAAAATATTGTTAAAAACAGTGACTTGATGAATGATGCTTAGAAACTGCATTCTATTCCTCTTAGAAAATTGGCCCAGTCTCACTGCTTCCCAGAAGCGTGATATGAAAAAAATGCAAGAGAACCTTAGTGAGGACTTTCTGATGCCCAGACTTGCTTGTTCACTGAGGGCAACCCCATTGTCTGCTCTAACACATAGCGACGTTCTTTTAAATGAGCCCCATATTCGCTTATCAAGGAGAGTGAGTGAAAAGTGAGAAATAAAACGCTTCCATTCTTTTCCATCAGCTATTACCTCAGTAATGGCACTCATAATGGTGGCATTAGAAAGAACTGGAAAAAAATCGTCATTACTCTTGGAGCCATGAGAAATGGAGATTCAAAAAGGTTATTATTGGTAATAGGTTCACACTATAACACGTGTAATGATTGTGGGCTTAGATTGGATGCTTTTGGCTTAGTGATGGTTTTCCAGTAGGAGTTGTGTGCCAGCTGCATAGAAGTGGAACCTCTGGACCAGAGAGTGGAACTAGGGGCTTTGTTCACATAAGGTCCCTAATATGGGGCCTTGCAGCAATGTCTCACTAGAAATAATAATTTCTTCCCAAATCTGCTCTGAAAAGTCCAGTTTCTGTGCTTACAAGAATCTCAGAGGGCAGGGAAGAAAGACAAGGCCAGATGAAGACAAGGCCAGATGAAGACAAGGTGGACAAATGAACTCTGTCTAGCTCGAATGAGCACGCTGCCCAAAAGCTATTTCAGGAATCTGAAAGCAACCACTTTCTGGATTGTTCTGTTAACACTCAGACTACAGCTGATGCATTACGTTTCTGCCAAAACCTGAGTTTACCAAGCCAGGATAATAAAACAACAACCAACCCCTTCTGCACCCACCCCCCAAAAAAATTGCCATTCTTACCCTAGAGAGGAGGGGATTTTAAATGGCAGCCACTGCTTAGCCAAAAGCATACATTCCAAAGTCTCCAATTTATGTATGCAATTGTTATTGCCTCTCTATGGCATTTAAGTTATAATTCCCTTTACCCTGAATTCTGAAGGGAGTGGAGTGAGGAAAGTAGGGAAATGTAAAATCCCTCTAATGTTTTATTACCTTTTTGTTTAAAACAGAAGTGTCATTATTAACTGCAGCTTTTCCATCATTATTTTCCTCTAGAGTTAAATGACAATAATTTTTATGGCTTCTACCATTATGGAGTAGTAGCAAAAACTTTAGTTGAAAAGTCAAGAACCTAGGTCTGATTTTTAGTTCTACTTCCAATATTCAGTTACTCAGACCCCAAACCCTTCATGCCTGTTTCTCTAATATTTCTCATTTCTTCCATCAGGAAATTGAAATACTTCTCACCATCTTTATCATTATTCCATGAAAGTCCATGTTACCATCATCTTTACACACAGCCGCCAAAATGCTCTTTTTTTTTTCTGCTGTGTAGTATTACATTAAGTGAATGTTGTTTTTTTAATTTTAGAAAGACAGGGTCTCGCTCTGTTGTCCAGGCTGGAGTGCAGTGGTGTGATCACAGCTCACTGAAGCCTCAAACTCTTGGGCTGAAGTTACCCTCTCTCCTCAGCCTCCCGAGTAGCTAGGCCTATAGGTGTGTGCCACCCTGCTTGGCTAATTTTTTTGTTTGTTTGTAAAAATGGAGTCTCACTATCTTGCCCAGGCTGTCTTGAACTCCTGAGCTCAAGCAATCGCCCACCTCTACCTCCCAAAGTGCTGAAATGACAGGCATGGGTCACTTCCCCTGGCTAGAATGCTCTTTCTAAAACAAAAAATTAGATTACTCTCCTGCTTCAAACCTCACTTTGAACATTCTCCAAAACTCTTACTCTTACCACATCCTAAAGGACACAGTCCCTGGCTCACTCTCCCACTTTTTCTGCCACTCTTTCCCCTCTTCACTGGGCTCCAGCCACACTGGCTCGCTTGCTCATCAACAGATGTGTTTCTGCCTGGAGCCTCCCTGTGCTGGGGACTCCAGTGGACACCCTTCTTGGGCTCCTCACAAGGCTTGCACTGGAACATGGTCTCCTCAGAGAGGCTTCTCTCACCACCCTCCCTACCTGGGCTGCCCCCAACACCATCCATATCTTACTCTACGTTATTTTCAGTGACTCATATCTACCTGACACTACCTTTTATTTTACTTGTTATTGCTGTTCTTCCCCAGGAGGATGACAGTCCTATCCAAGGATGGCTTTGGCTTGTTGTTTTGATTGCTCTTGTTTACCACACATTTACTGTGCCTAGCGCTTCCTTGAGCAGAGCAGGCACTGCCTGCATAAAGGATCTGTGTCACCTCACTTCATTTGGTCTAGTTTATTTCCTTCTTTATTTCTCTTTCTTTCTTCCTTTCTTTCCTTTATTTTCTTTTGCTTTATCTTTTCTTTCTTGCTTTCTCTCTCTTTCCTTCCCTCCCTCCCTTCTCTTTCCTTCCTTCCTTTCTTTCTCTTTCTTCTTTCTTTCTCTTTTTCTTTCATTCTCTTTCTTTTCTTTCTTTCTCCCTCTTTCTTTCTTTTCTTTCTCTCTTTCTCTTTCTTTTCCTTCCTTCCTTCCTTCCTTCCTTCCTTCCTTCCTTCCTTCTTCCCCTCCCTCCCTCCCTTCCTTCCTTCCTCTTTCTTTCTTTTACAATTAAGGTCTTAGATTTTAGGGTTTGTCAAGTGCCTTTTTGATTTGATGCTCTGGAATTCTATAGCCTTCATATTGTTCACTACTCCACCTATGATGCACAGACAATAAGACAGTAGCAGATACAGATAATTAAAAAGAAAATTTCCAAGAGATGGATATGAGTAATGGCTTAGTGCACATCCCACCATGCTTGTTTCTGTATGTGTGTGTGTTGGGATCCAGCATTCCCCATGGATGAAGTATGGATGAAAGAGTCAGAATGCTTGTTTTTGAGTCCCCACTTTGGCATTTCATATGAGTGACTGTGGGTGAGCTACTTACTTTCTTTGTGCCTCTGTTTCCTTACCTGGAAGAATGGTAAGATATTACCATGGAATATGGTAATCTTACTATGGAAGATAGTAATCCTTCTGATCTCATTAGGTTATTTTGAGAAGAAGTGAGTTAATACATGTAAAGAACTTAGAACATGGCCGGGTGTGCAGTGGCTCACGCCTGTAATCCCAGCACTTTGGGAGGCCAAGGTGGGCGGATCACGAGGTTAGGAGATTGAGACCATCCTGGCTCACACAGAGAAACCCCGTCTCTACTAAAAAATACAAAAGATTAGCTGGGCGTGGTGGCGGGCGCCTGAAGTCCCAGCTGCTCGGGAGGCTTAGGCAGAAGAATGGCGTGAACCTGGGAGGTGGAGCTTGTAGTGAGCTGAGATTGCACCACTGCACTCCAGCCTGGGCGACAGAGTTCTCACAAAAAAAAAAAAAAAAAAAAAAAAAACCACAGAGTAGCACCTTACAAGGACTAAAAATGTTAGCACTCTTTTTGTTCATGTTGATGTGTATAGACTGTTCTGGCCACCTTGTACCTTGCCTGCTCCTGCTTGTCCTTTGGCCTCCTCTTGTGGACCCTCTCTCCTCCAAGACTTGATGAACTTATCTGTGTGCAGACTTGTTCCATCTAGTTCACAGTAGTGGGTTGAATGTCATGAAATATTCACTGGGATTAACCAATCAATTCCCAATATTGATCAAATTCCTACATGGTCTAAACACTGGGGACATCCAAAGAATTGCAAATGCTGATTACTTTCCTCCAGGTTCTTATATACTAGTTGGGAATATGGAGCACACACAAAAAGGTAACAATACCAGGGGGTGGATCAAGCGCAAATGTCCTGGCACAATTAGTAAATATCAGAGGAAACCTGAGGAGGAGAGGGGCTTTGTGGTCAAGCTCCTTGGCTTGATCAAGATTTCTATGTCCCTACACAATCCATACCCACTTACCTCTTCCATCTCATCTCTTTCCATTCTTCTCCCTTGCAACCTCTTTTCATGCCACAACTCAGCTATACCAAACTTCATCCTGTCCCTTAAATGCTCCATAATTCTGTATTATCTCCAAGTCTTTGGATGTTCTTTCTCTTGCACAGAACATTATCCACCCATCTCTTTGACATCCAGCTATCCAATTCTACTTTCAGAAATCTGTTTAGATAACACTTTCTCCAGGGAACCTCCCCTGGAGCCTGGGTTTGGAGTCCTTCCTATCTACTGCTTTAGCACACTTTCGTTTTCTAACCACCTGCTTTCTCACTTCCTTCTCTCACAGACTTCCATGTGAGAAGTTTGCTGAACTTGCAGCTCCCTTCTGTATGCCCAGCCCATGGCACCATGCCTTTCATAAAATGTGGGTTAAACACAAATCTATTGAATAAATTATTGATTTGGCTACTGTTTTGGAAGAATTGTTTATCTTCATTCAGAAACATCTATTAAGAGACACAATAAAGAAATTCTTCCAGAGAAAAAGGAAGGCATTTCATATCTAGCAAAGCATTGATTAAAAGACAGTCTCAGTGCTCAGGACTGACATTGGAGTCTCTATTCTTTAATTTTTCATCTCTATTAATCTCTTGGTCTGAGCCTTCCACAGCTGCACAATATCCCAGCCATTCTGGAAAGAGTACTCACTTTCCCATGGAACTAATTACGGATTAGTCAGGCCCATCTGGGGCACCATGTTTTCATGCCTCTGGTTATGTAGCGATAACCTACCCATTTCTTTTTTCCAGAGCTACTTGGAAAACTGCAATTTGTCCTCCATTGTACAATTTCTCACTCTACCATGTTCTATGAACCATGTCCTTCTAGGTCTGGATGTCTGCCTGAGGACTAGGTTGAATTTGCCACATCTTTATTTGGCCTTAATCTCTGATTATTGAATCAAGCTCAGACACTGTCACCTCTGCACTATTCTGACTCATATTATAGCTAATTTTCTCACAAATTCCCCCCACCTGGCTTCCAGAGTTCTGTGTCTTTCTGTAGTAATTTCTAACCTTTTTTTGGGGAAAAAAAAATCATAACTAAAAAATATAACTTGTATTCTGCTTCCTCTGTGTCCCCCAAATCATAGAGGACAAACCAGACACATAGAGGTCTCTCAAACCGTGTGTGTGTGTGTGTGTTTAAGCACGAGGGTAGGGAATGCAGAAAGATATGTCCTAGTTGGTTTGGGCTGCTATAACAAATTACAATAGATTAGGTGGTTTAAACCAGCAGAACCCAGCCTTTTTGGCACCAGGGACTGGTTCCATGGAAGACAATTTTTCCACAGATGGAGGTGGGCATAGGGAGATGGTTTGGGATGAAACTGTTTCACCTCAGATCACCAGGCATTAGATTCTTATAAGGAGCATGCAACCTACATTCCACAATAGGGTTCTATGAAAATCTAATGCCACCACTGATCTAACAGGAGGTGGAACTCAGGCAATAATGCTGGCTTGCCTGCTGCTCACCTCCTACTGCGTGGCCCAGTTCCTAACAGGCCATGGACTGGTACTGTCTGTGGCCCGGAGAATGGGGTACCCCTGGTTTCAACAGCAAACATTTGTGTTTTACAGTTCTAGAGACTGGGAAATCCAGCCCTAAGATGCCAGCATGTCCGATGTCTGGTGAAAGCTCACTTCCTTATTTGCAGATGGCTATCTTCTTGTTGTATCATTACATAGCAGAATGGGGTGTGTGTGTGTGTGTGTGTGTGTGTGTGTGTGTGTGTGTGTGTATGTGAGAGAGAGAGAGAGAGAGAGAGATCCTGTGTCTCCTCTTTTTATAAGGGTGTGAATTCCATTCACGTGGGCCTGAACCTCATGGCATAATCTAACCCTCATTACCTCCCAAAGGCCCCACCCCCAAATATCATCACATTGGGGGTTAGGGTTTCAACAAAGGAATTTGAGGGATACAAACATTGAGTCCATAATAGATGACAATCATAAATAAAGTTTTAAGCCACCGTACTATCCAGTTCAATGTTATTTGAGTACAAATAATTCATAATACTGGGGTAACTTTGCCAGCTGTTAAGAATTCTACTCTTCTGGAAATGTTTCAAGAGACAAAAGATGTTCTCTTTTTTTCCAGTTTTTGCAGCCAGGCTTCAATTTTGTCTGGCAGGTACATTTTTGATAAGGGACTGTTCAGTGTTTAGAGCCAGCGATTCCTCCCCACATGCCAATTACTGTCAACTCTTGTGTGGACATATGTGAGAGCCATGGTTGATGCTGACACACACAGGCACCTCACAGAGGCTTCCAGTCCTGCACATGGCAAATGATTACTAGGCTGAGATTGACTCCAGAGACAAAGATGATTCTGTTTTCTCTAAAGGCTTTTCACATGGTGTTAAGGGAACTATAGATTGTTAATGGAAAAAGTATATTCATTAATATTTAATTTTCTTGAGCTGTAGCTCCTTATGAAGAGCTCCCTTATGTCAAGCATGCTGGGTTGTTTGGAGATAGCCAAGTATGCTTAGACTGATGACCTTTGTACATTAAGTGTTCCTGGTGCTGTGACATTATTACAAATCCATGATACTCAACTCAACTGCATTTTCTTTACCTGAGGTCTCTCAATTATCCATGGCCCTTATTTTTGAGGCTTCAACTCTGCTGCTTCAATCATGACATCTGAAAAAGAATGCATACCCTGGTTTTCTAGTTCCTTAAAATATATTTAATATGTATCCATTATGAGTTAGGCATTGTTATAGTTGGAAGGGACCCAGATGTATAAGACACAGTCCCAAAATAGAGGTAAAATAATTTGAATATCTACAACTTTAATCTTGCTGAAAATACATCCTTTCAGACTTCTTTTACAACTAAGAGAAAGATATAATCGTTTTCCTCCTTTTTTTGCATTTTTTTTTCATTAAGCTTATAAATAAGAACCTATTCTGTCCAGGTACTGTTCTAGTTTCTTGGGATGCAAGAGGGAAAAAAGGAAAATTCTCTGCTTCTTTAGAAATTAAACTCTAAATATAAAAAGATAAGCCTTTAAAAACAAATATATACATAAGATAATTTTATATAATGATGAGTATTATGAAGATAATAATGTGTATATATACATACGGGTAGGGGGGAACCAGGCGCAAGTAAAGGGATTGGCCTTTGATGAGGATAAGGGTATTTATTTCATTGCAACTAGAGGAGAGGCAGAGATTTGGAAGTAGATGCAAGTAAATGACAGAATAGTGATAGAAACTTGAGAAGTTTTTGTCTGTTCCTATTTCATAAGTGAAGTTTGGGGCCATGTCATCATCTGAGATTAAGGAAGGTAAAAGGGTAAAGTAAGTTTAAAGAGATAATTATGAAATTATCATTTCAAAAAGTGGAAGTGTAAACGCACTATGGAAGAGAGGTTGGACAATGTTAAGAGCCCATTTTAAAATTTGACATCATAAGTCAAAAGTGGGACCAATAGGATTTTACTAATATTTGGTGGTATGGTAAGTGAATATAATAGAAAAAGTGGAGGTTCAGGAAGTTATGGTTGTTTGCAAGAGTGGTTATAATAATGACTATAGAATTTAAGTTGGGTGAGAAGGAAAATGAGAGAGGGAAGGGAATAATAGAGTCAAGAGAGTGAACAGTGGACAAATAGGTGTGGTTGAAATATTGTTGGATTAGGCATCTCAGAGAAAGCAAACTCCTTTAAGGCAAAGTCCTCCAATCATGCCCTTGATTTGATCTCATAGCCATCTCATCTGGAATATTCCACCAATTAAAACTTTTCTCAATTGAACACTTAGTATTTCCTCTCCAAGGTCTACTTCATCTACACTCGCCAACATTACCTAATGGCACAATAAGAAATTCATCTTTGATCTTGTTCTCCCAAACTCCCAACAAGTCTCTCCCTTCATTCTACACCAGTTTCTTACCCTCAGCACTATTGACATTAGGGCCAAATAAGTCTTTATTGTGGGGGGCTGTCTTGTGTGTTACAGAATGATTAACACCATCATTGGGCTCTACTCAATAGGTGTCACTAGCAGACACTGTACCCTGCCATTGTGATAGCCAAGTACATCTCCAGATAGTGCCACATATTTCTTGGAAGCAAAATCACCTCCAGTTAAGAACTATTGTTCTTCACTAATTATTTCTATGTACTCTCCACCCACTTATTCCTACATCCTACAATTTGACTTATATATCATTAGTCAGTAATAGTTCTCTGTGAAGTTTACTGCCCACCAAATGCAATGACTATTTGGCATATCTTCATCATTTTTGTTTTTTATCCAGCTTTTAAAAATCCCTTTTGATTTACACCTACATTTGTTCCCAGGATGTTCTATCTTCTGCTTTTCATCTGACTTCTGAGATTATTTTCACTCTCAAATCTTTTATCCTTCTGCATTTCCAATGTAAGGCTCTATGGACCTGTCCCTAAATAAATCAATTTCTATTATTTCCTCACATAACTGTACAACTTCTATTATGACCTCTATGCAAATGAGAAATATAGCCTGTTTTTAGAGTTTCAGCCTCTCTCCCAAGCTAAAAGATTATATTTTTTCCTGCCTTTCTCTTACTTACTTTTATAAATTTCTCTGGAACTTGAAAATTCAAACCCCCAAGCAGATCATTTCCTCTAACCTTACTGTATACTCCAAAATAATGTTCTATTATACATAACACTACATTCCCAATCTTTTAGTGTCAAAATGCCAGTGTAATCTTTGATCTGAGCACTATGCCACTGAGCACTACACCACTCTTTCCAAAAGCTATCTTATCCCGACCTAATTACCTCATTGACAGAGTCATTTCCCAAATTTAGTCATTCAATAGTTTTGCCTAGATCAATGCTCTGGCTACTATTATGATCTCCTAGGCTACAATCCTTCTCTCTTCTAATCAGTTATTGAAATTCTTTTAATAGTTTTCCAGAAGCATATACGTGATCATGACAACACAACATTCCTATACTTTACCCAGAGGCTCCCGTGATTCTCTGTGACATTCATGAATATTTCTAAACTCTTTAGTCTATTGCCACGTCCTCTCCTACTTGGTTCTAAACTGTCTTTCCAAATTGACTTACCTTTGTACTAACAAATGTAGAAAGGACTTAGCTTGAAGATGCAACTCAGTATTTTTTTCCCCTTAGCTTCACTTAGGATTTTCACTGTTCCTGGATTCATCCTCTCTCCCTCTTCCTGTCTAACAAACACATCTTGGCTCTGACAAATTCTCCTGATCTTTTCAGACCCCTTACTTTGCTATTTCTCTATGGCCTCTTCTCTTATCCCACAATTGAAAAGAAAACATGATTTACAGAGTTCTTACAGTAAGACATAGACTATGATGTGTGTGTGGGTATGTATAGATACCTATATCTATATAGAACAGATTATTTCTTACATAAAAAATACATTTAATCTTCATTTTATAGATAAAAAACCTAGCACAATGAGATTAAGTGACTTGTTTCACTTGACATGAAGTTGAGGTTCAAGAGCTGGGATTTTTTCCTACCTCGGTCTGTGTGGCTCTAAAATCACTTCTTCATCCACTACAAATGTGACTTCAAAAGTAATGTTACCTTACCCTGAATGTTCACTGTTCTTTATCTAAACTTCCATTTTAGCATTTTTATTTTCAATATTGTGCAAGTTATATATGTAGACATTTCATTTTTTGTTCTGAGCTCCCAAAAGTTCTCTATATGAATCATGTGTATATCTACCAAACCACCTAATCCAGTACCTCACACATTCAACGAAGGTTTTCAGGGAGTTTGTCTGATGGAGAGATGCAATTTTGTTATTGTGCATTTCAGTACTGATCTGAGCTCTAGATAAACATTCCAATTCAAGATTCAACCCTAGGTAAGCATTCCAATTCTAGAGTGATTAATACTTCACATACCACAACTTGAAACTTAGACCTCCACCATATGAAGAGCCATCAATATGACTAGTGTTGGAAATAGATACTGTTTTTGCCCTTAACGCCTAACTTTTCTGCAATAGAAATATATTTCTTGGAGGGAAAGTCATTATGACCTATTAAAATAAAATCATATTTTGTTGGAAAAATATATACACTTGTAATCAAAGTAATATCATAGTCAGGAATTAGTCATCTTAGAGGAAGATTCTGGGTAATATTATTGCATGAGTGTTGAAGAGTCGAATACATGTTCAAAACCTTTTCCTAATATTTACTAGTTATGTTGCCTTGGCCATGTTTTCTAACATTCTGGGCCTCAGTTTCCTTTTCTGTAAGATGAGAGATTTACTAACATCACTTCATAGGGTTGTGGGGAATTTAATTGAAAAAACAAAACAAAACAAAATATTTATCAGAGTGCCCAATAAATGAAAACTCAATAAGTGATATATAGAAATAATGTACAAAAAAAACTGTATATAACAGGGGTTTGTGGGAAGCAGGAGATAGGGAGGTGAAGTAAAACAAGAGGTAAAAAAAAACCCATCAAGCACAAATTGTAGGTTTTAAATTTCCCCAACCTTTGGCTATGTCTGATTCTCCTGACTGTGTAAGTATATGGTATACACTAATTTGTGAAAAAACACACTGCTTGTGACTTGTGGCAGTATGATGCAGTTCCTCAGCCTCCACTCCACGCCAGGGTGAACATTTATCAGCAAACAAAACACAGCCTAATGACATCAGAAAATGACCCTTCCTTGAATCTGTGGGGTGGGTTATCTCTCACACATCTCTGTATTTTCTTTTCTGCCTATTAGTACCCATTGCTGTTGTAAACAAGAAGTTATGGTAGCAATCTGGATTGGCCTTTGAAGGCTCTCAACATTGGTAACAATTCTGCATGACCATTTGACCTGCCACCAAATGGAACGCTGCTTTCAGCCTTTCGGAGGGGTCGTGTGTGTGCTTCTTGTGGCAGATGGTAAAAACTCTCCACGTATTAAGAGGAAGAGCCACCTACTTCTTAAATTGAGCCCTTATGAGGGTATCAAGTACATCTGATCACAGGCAACCTGAGGGTGAGGGTGGGCAGCTGGATTACGAATTAATCGTGGACATGTAGATTATGGATGGAGGAGGCGGGTCAAGGTGAGTCACAACTCCTTTGAATAGCCAGCGGCCACAGAGAGTGGTGGCCAATGCCAGAGCCTCCGACTGACCTAAGGACATGTATTACAGATCACCTGAGCCCTGTTTCCTTATCTGTATAATGATAATGTGAATCTCACAATGTGGTTACAGCATTAAAAAATAGGTATATGAATGTTCCATGTAAGTAATTTTTAATAACCTGACGTTAACTGATTGCTATCATGATTTTCAAAGACTTACCTATCATTCTATGAAAACCAATGCTGTGATAGATTAACTTTTTGTAATCTGAATTTTTTTTCTTTCCTGTATCAGAAAAGTTTGATGTCTTCATTAGCAGGTGGAATTAATAGCCTCCAAGCGTCTTGTAAGTTGGAGAGGAGAGTCCTAGCCCTCTACTTCAGTGGGTGATTTCTCCTTTGGGAAATATTTTCTTGTATTAGGAGACATTATATAAATTACATAAATCAGACACCAGAAAGTAAGTTTCAATGTTTTTGGTAATTTCTAGAAAAGCATAGGAATGAAATAAAATAAAGCCTCCTCAAATTCTCATTTGTTTCTTCCAGGCTGGAAATATGTTTTCTAAAGTGAAGCTTGTTTTTCTTCCATTATTTTTGAGGACTTGTCTATTAGATCAAATATCAATCAGCCAAAGGTAGCATATGACCATGATAAAAAAAGAAGGTTCTTAATCATTCATTTAGCAAATATTTATTTTGTGCTTATTATATGCTGCGTACTAGGATCCTCACAGTTTGAAGGGAAGGGTGGATGTAGCAGGGAGACAAACAAGTCCACAAGGAATAGTAAAGATGAAGTCTAAAATAGGAAAAGTTACCTGTAATCCCAGCACTTTGGGAGGCTGAGGCAGGTCGATCACCTGAGGTCAGGAGTTCAAGACCAGCCTGGCCAACATGGTGAAACCCCATCTCTAATAAAAATACAAAAAATTAGGCGTGTATGGTGGCAGGTGCCTGTAATCCCACCTACTCGGGAGGGTGAGGCAAGAGAATCACTTGAACCTGGGAGATGGAGGTTGCAGTGAGCTGACATCGCACCATTGCACTCCAGCCTGGTCAATAAGAGTGAAAACTCTATCTCAAAAATAAATAAATAAATAAATTAAATAAATAAATAAATAAATAAATAAATAACAAAATAAAATAGAAAAAATTCAAAGATCTAAAAGAGGGCATCTAATTCAGACTTGCAGTTCAGAAAACTTCTCAAAGGAAATATGTCTATTGTGACCTGAAGGATGGGATTCAAATGAACACTGGAGAGGAAAAGTTTTCAAGATGGAAAGAGCAATATGTGCTAAGATAATATATTTGTGCAACTTTCTTCATGCATACATTTTGAGAAGGAGCATGATCACTGAAGAATCTAGAAAGGCAAGGTAGGGCTAGATCTTGCAAAATCATGCATATCATGCTAATTTTGAACTTTACCTCATGAACAAAGGATTTCCTGGCATTGAAATGTTGTATGCAGGCATGTAACTCTGGCTACAGTAAGAATGAGGCTTGGAAGAGCTGAGGTAGGCAAAGGCGAGGTAGAGGTAGCCAGACCAAATATATTACTATTTAGCAAGTGCATAGTGGACACATATTATATCAACAGTTTTGTGCAGAGTCTTGTAGGAGAAAAAATATGTGACAGTCCCTGCCCATAGAAGAAGACTGGGATTTCTTGGAACTGGCAAGCCAAAAATTGCGCTTGACAATGTTAAATGGTTATGAAAAGACTTTATTCAAGAGTAATGCGATAGCAGGGAGAAACCAGAACTCAGTCTGAACTTGATCCAGCTGAAACAAGAAGTCGGAGAGGTTTCCAGAGCTGGTGGGGCCCAATCTTATTCCACTTGTATTGGCTAATTGGCCATACCTAAAAGAAAATAAACTTTCTCCTATCTTCATGGCATCATATATTTTTACAACTGGGAGCAAGACACCCAAGGCCATTAGGCTCTTATGCGCCCTCAAAGACTTGGAGAAAGAGGCATTATTTACTTTGTTGATTCCATTTCAAAGGGTGGCTCCTGGTCCTAGAGAAAGACATTCCTGGGTTGTAAAACTGACCAGAGGCTGGAATAAGATTTATATCTCAAAGGGACAGATAGAGAATTTGCAATTACAAGTTTTCTAACTTAAGGAAAGGGAGGCCAGGGGCCTTGAGACAGGGAGAGAAGGGTGTAAAGTCGGATCAAGCTGAGGGAAACCTTAAAGTGGACTTGGTCAAGGCAGTCAGAAGCAACTTGCCATAAGCACAGTATTTTTTCCAAAATATAATTTTACTTCAGCATGGCACATGTATACGTATGTAACTAACCTGCACAATGTGCACATGTACCCTAAAACTTAAAGTATAATAATAAAAAATAGAAAAAAAAATCACATTATGTATGTATTGTCAGGCCTCTGAGGCCAAGCCTGCATGTATACATGCAGATGGCCTGAAGCAAGTGAAGAATCACAAAAGAAGTGAAAATTGCTGTTTCTTATCTTAACTGATGACATTACCTTGTGGAATTCCTTCTCCTGGCTCAGAAGCACCCCCACTGAGCACCTTGTGAACCCTGCCCCTGCCTGCAAGAGAAAAACCCCCTTTGACTATAATTTTCCATTACCTACCCAAATCCTATAAAACGGCCCCACCCCTATCTCCCTTTGCTGACTCTCTTTTTGGACTCTGCCCGCCTGCACCCAGGTGAAATAAATGGCTTTATTGCTCACACAAAGCTTGTTTGGTGGTCTCTTCAAATGGACGTGCGTGACATTTGGTGCCATGACTCAGATCAGGGAACCTCCCTTGGGAGATCAATCCCCTGTCCTCCTGCTCTTTGCTCCGTGAGAAAGATCCACCTACGACCTCAGGTCCTCAGACCAACCAGCCCAAGGAACATCTCACTAATTTTAAATCAGGTAAGCGGCCTCTTTTTACTCTCTTCTCCAACCTCTCTCACTATCCTTCAACCTCTTTCTCCTTTCAATATTGGCGCCACCCTTCAATCTCTCCCTTCTGTTAATTTCAGTTCCTTTCCTTTTCTGGTAGAGACAGAGGAGATGCGTTTTATCCGTGAACCCCAAACTCCGGCATCAGTCACGGACTCAGGAAGACAGTCTTCCCTTGGTGTTTAATCACTGCAGGGACACCTGCTTGATTATTCACCCATGTTTCAGAGGTGTCTGATCACTGCGGGGACGCCTGCCTTGATCCTTCACCCTTAGTGGCAAGTACCACTTTCCTGGGGGGCAAGCACCACCTCCCCTGGGGGGCAAGTACCCCCCCCACTCCTTCTCTCTGTGTCTCTACCCTCTCTTTTCTTTGGGCTTGCCTCCTTCACTATGGGCAACCTTCCACCCTCCATTCCTCCCTCTTCTCCCTTAGCCTGTGCTCTCAAAAATTTTAAACCTCTTCAACTCACACCTGACCTAAAACCTAAATGCCTTATTTTCTTCTGCAATGCCACTTGACCCCAGTACAAACTCAACGATGGTTCCAAATAGCCAGAAAATGGCACTTTTGATTTTTCCATCCTATCAGATCTAGATAATTCTTGTCATAAAATGGGCAAACGGTCTGAGGTGTCTGACATCCAGGCATTCTTTTACACATCAGTCCCTCCCTAGTCTCTGTTCCCAATGCAACTCGTCTCAAATCTTCCTTCTTTCCCTCCTGCCTGTCCCCTCAGTCCCAACCCCAAGCGTCACTGAGTCTTTTCAATCTTCCTTTTCTACCGACCCATCTGACCTCTCCACTCCTCCCCAGACTGCTCCTCCTCAAGTCACTCCCCACCAGGCTGAATCAGGCTCCAATTCTTCCTCAGCCTCTGCTCCCCAACCCTATAATCCTTCAATCACCTCCCCTCATCACACCCAGTCCAGCTTACAGTTTTGTTCCATGACTAGCCCTCCCCCACCTGCCCAACAATTTCCTCTTAAAGAGGTGGCTGGAGCTAAAGACATAGTCAAGTTTAATGCTCCTTTTTCTTTATTCGACCTCTCCCAAATCAGTTAGCATTTGGGCATTCTTTTTTTTTTTTTTTTTTTTTTTATCAAATATGAAAACACAGCCCAGTTCATGGCTCATTTGGCAGCAACCCTGAGATGCGTTATAGCCCTAGACCCTGAAGGGTCAGAAGGCCGTCTCACTCTAAATATGCATTTTATTACCCAATCCACTCCCGACTTTAAATAAAGCTCCAAAAATTAGATTCCAGCCCTCAAACCCCACAACAGGACTTAAATAACCTCGCCTTCAAGGTGTACAATAATAGAGAAGAGTTACAATTACTTGCCTCTGCTGTGAGACAAAACCCAGCTGCACCTCCAGCACACAAACACTTCAAAATGCCTAAGCCACAGCAGTCAAGCATTCCTTCAGGACTTCCTCCATCAGGATCTTGCTTCAAGTGCCAGAAATCTGGCTTCAAGTGCCAGAAATCTGGGCCAAGGAATGCCCTCAGCCTGAGATTCCTCCTAAGCTGTGTCCCATCTGTGCAGGACCCCACTGGATATCAGACTGTCCAACTTGCCCAGCAGCCACTCCCAGAGACCCTGGAACTCTGGCTCAAGGTTCTCTGACTGACTCCTTCCCAGATCTTCTTGGCTTAGCGGGCTGAAGACTGACGCTGCCTGATTGCCTCGGAAGCCTCCTGGACCATCACAGACGCTTTGGGTAACTCTTACAGTGGAGGGTAAGTCCTCCCCTTCTTAATCAATATGGAGGCTACCAACTCCACATTACCTTCTTTTCAAGGGCCTGTTTCCTTTGCCTCCATAACTGTTGTGTATTTTGATGGCCGGGCTTCTAAACCTCTTAAAACTCCCCAACTCTGGTGCCAACTTGGACAATATTCTTTTACGTACTCCTTTTTAGTTATCCCCACCTGCCCAGTTCCCTTATTAGGCTGAGACATTTTAACTAAATTATCTGCTTCCCTGACTATTCCTGGACTATAGCGACACCTCATTGCCACCCTTTTTCCCAGTTCAAAGCCTCCTTCACAAACTCCCCTTGTATCTCCCCACCTTAGTCCACAAGTATGGGACACCTCTACACCCTCCTAGGTGACCGATCATGCACTCCCTTACCATCCCATTAAAACCTAATCACCCTTACCCTGCTCAATATCCATCCCACAGCACCCTTTAAAATGATTAAAGCCTGTTATCACTGGCTTGCTACAGCATCGCCTTCTAAAGCCTATAAACTCTCCTTACAATTCCCCCATTTTACCTGTCCAAAAACCGGACAAGTCTTACAGGTTAATTCAGGATTTACGCCTTACCAACCAAATTGTCTTGCCTATCCACCCCGTGGTGCCAAACCCATATACTCTCCTATCCTCAATACCTCCCTCCACAACCCATTATTCTGTTCTAGATAAACCTAGCTGACCCCATAAATCCTAAATCCTTTCCCCACTCCCTTTTCCATTCCTTAAAAAACAGCCCTAAAAGCTGCTCCCACACTAACTCTCCCTAACTCATCCCAACCCTTTTCATTACACACAGCTGAAGTACAGGGCTGTGTGGTCAGAATTCTTACACAAGAGCTGGGACCTCACCCTGTAGCCTTTCTGTCCAAACAACTTGACCTTACTGTTTTAGCCTAGCACTCATGTCTGTGTGCGGTGGCTGCCACTGCTTTAATACTTTTAGAGGCCCTCAAAATCACAAACTATGCTCAACTCACTCTCTACAGTTCTCATAACTTCCAAAATCTATTTTCTTCCTCACACCTGATGCATATACTTTCTGCTCCCCACCCACTTCAGCTATATGCACTCTTTGTTGAGTCTCCCACAATTACCATTGTTCCTGGCCCAGACTTCAATTCGGCCTCCCACATTATTCCAGATACCACATCTGACCCCCATGACTGTATCTCTCTGATCCACCTGACATTCACTCCATTTCCCCATATTTCCTTCTTTCCTGTTTCTCACCCTGATCACACTTGGTTTATTGATGGCAGTTCCACCAGGCCTAATCGCCACTCACCAGCAAAGGCAGGCTATGCTATAGTATCTTCCACATCTATCACTGAGAGGCTACTGCTCTGCCCCCCTCCACTACCTCTCAGCAAGCCGAGCTCATTGCCTTAACTCGAGCCCTCACTCTTGCAAAGGGACTATGCGTCAATATTTATACTGACTCTAAATATGTCTTCCACATCCTGCACCACCATGCTGTTATATGGGGAGAAAGAGGTTTCCTCACTACACAAGGGTCCTCCATCATTAATGCCTCTTTAATAAAAACTCTTCTAAAGGCTGCTTTACTTCCAAAGGAAGCTGGAATCATTCACTGCAAAGGCCATCAAAAGGATAGATCCCATTGCTCAGGGCAATGCTTATGCTGATAAGGTAGCTAAAAAAGCAGCTAGCATTCCAACTTCTGTCTCTCAGAGCCAGTTTTTCTCCTCCTCATTGGCTACTCCCACCTCTCCCACTGAACCTTCCACCTATCAATCTCTTACACAAGGCAAATGGTTCGTGGACCAAGGAAAATATCTCCTTCCAGCCTCACAGGCCCATTCTATTCTGCCATCATTTCATAACCTCTTCCATGTAAGTTACAAGCCGCTAGCCCACCTCTTAAAACCCTTTCCTTTCCATTGTAAAAATCTATCCTCTAAAAATCACTTCTCAGTGTTCCATCTGCTATTCTACTACTCCTCAGGAATTTATCAGGCCCCTCCCTTCCCTACACATCAGGCTCGAGAATTTGCCCCTGCCCAGGACTGGCAAACTGACTTTACTCACATGTCCTGAGTCAGGAAACTAAAATACCTCTTGGTCTAGGTAGACACTTTCACTGGATGGGTACAGCCCTTTCCCACAGGGTCTAAGAAGGCCACCGTGGTCATTTCTTCCCTTCTGTCAGACAAAATTCCTCGATTTGGCCTTCCCACCTCTCAGACTGTCCTTTACTTGTCAAATCACCCAAGCAGTTTCTCAGGCTCTTGGTATTCAATGGAACCTTCATACCCTTACCATCCTCAATCTTCAGAAAAGGTAAAATGGACTAATGGTCTTTAAAAAAACATACCTCACCAAGCTCAGCCTCCAATTTAAAAAGGACTGGACAATATTTTTACCACTTGCCCTTCTCAGAATTCGGGCCTGTCCTCAGGATGCTACTGGATACAGCCCATTTGAGCTCCTGTATGGATGCTCATTTTTATTAGGCCCCAGTCTCATTCCAGACACCAGCCCAACTTGAACTGCACCCCAAAAACTGGTCATCCCTACTGTCTTCTGTCTAGTCATACTCCCATTCACCATTCTCAACTACTCGTAAATACCCTGCCTTTGTTTACACTGCCAGTTTACACTTTTCCTTCAAACCATCATAAAGGATATCTCCTGGTTTTACCTCAAACCACCACCCTTAAGTCTCTCTTAAAGTGGATAGATAATCTTTGCTGACAGGGTGCACTCCAATACTTTCACCCTGATAAAGTCCTGTTCTTTACTTTTATACTTACTCTTATTCTCACTCCCGTTCTTATGCCACCCTCTACCTCTCCCCAGCTATCTCCATCACACTCAATCTCACTCACTCTCTCCTAGCTGTTTCTAATCCTCCTTTAACAAACAATTGCTGGCTTTGCATTTCTCTTTCCTCCAAAATTGCCAAGGCCTCGACTTACTCACTGCTAAAAAAAGAGGATTCTGTATATTTTTAAATGAAAAGTGTTGTTTTTACATAAATCAATCTGGCCTGGTATATGACAATATAAAAAAACTAAAGGATAGAGTCTAAAAACTTGCCAACCAAGAAAGTAATTATGCTGAACCCCCTTAGGCACTCTCTAATTGGATGTCCTGGGTCCTCCCAAATTCTTTGTCTTTTAATACCTGTTTTTCTCCTTCTCTTATTTGGACCTTGTGTCTTCTGTTTAGTTTCTCAGTTCAACCCAAACCATATCCAGGCCATCAACAATCATTCTGTATGACAAATGCTCCTTCTAACAACCCACAGTATCACCCCTTACCACAAAAATCTTCCTTCAGCTTAATCTCTCCCACTCTAGGTTCCCACGCCACCCCTAATCCCACTCGAAGCACCTCTGAGAAACATCGCCCATTATCTCTCCATACCACCGCCAAAAATTTTCACTTTCCGAACACTTCAACACTATTTTGTTTTATTTTTCTTATTAATGTAAAAAGACAGGAATGTCAGGCCTCTGAGCCCAAGCCTGCACGTATACCTCCAAATGGCCTGAAACAAGTGAAAAATCACAAAAGAAGTGAAAATGGCTGGTTCCTGCCTTAACGATGACATTATTTAGTGAAATTCCTTCTCCTGGATCAGAAGCTCCCCTACTTAGCACCTTGTGAACCCCGCCCCTGCCTGCCAGAGAACAACCCCCTTTGACTGTAATTTTCCATTACCTACCCAAATCCTATAAAATGGCCCCACCCCTAGCTCCCTTCACTGACTCCTTCTTCGGACTCAGCCCACCTGCACCCAGGTGAAATAAACAGCTTTATTGCTCACACAAAGCCCATGTGGTGGTCTCTTCACACGGACGTGCGTGACATGTATTACATTTCAAAGTATATGTGTTTATAAATTGTATAAAAATGGTGCTTCCCTTGATTTGGATTCTGCCAAGAGTAGAACCTGAGATAACGACTTAATTTGGGATAGTTTCTTTGGAAAATAATTCCAAAAGGAAGCAGTGACAGTGGGGAGACTGAGACAGGAAAGGAAGAAAATTCAATAAAGACCTGTTATGAAGGTGCTGGTGTTGGCAAAGAGCACTGAAGTTGGCAAGGATCTCTGAAAAGAGTAGCAAAAAAAAAAAAAAGCATAGTTTAATGGAATGCAATGCAGCTGTCCTACCAGAATAAGTTCTGAGAGTATTACCACCTGAGAAAATAAAAATGTCCTAGGGCAGTCCAAGTTATGTAAAGTATGCAGGCCCAGAGAGACAAGAGTATAGCAGTTTCATCATGCCCTCTCCTTTATGGTTGGGGACAATTGTTTAAAGTCTTCTTGGTTCTGACTAGCTGCCTCAGTGATTATTTTCATGTTCCTGGAATGTGTGATACAAATAACAATCTATAACCAATCAATATCTTAATGTAAATTCTTAGGAAACTACTCAGGAACTCTCCCTACTTTTTCTTTAAAAATTGACTTGTAGTCAGGTAGGGTGGCTCATGCCTACAGTCCCAGCACTTTGGGAGGCTGTAGTAGGAAGATCAATAACTTGAGGCCAGAGTTCGAGACCAGCCTGGATAACATAGGGAGACCTCACTGCTACAATAAAATAAAATAAAATCCATTTGTAACTGCTGGTAATCAGAGAATCTTTTCAGGGTTGAAAAGACTATACCGAGAATCTATACTCATGGGTTGCAATCCTCATACTTGGCCTAAATAAACTCTCTACTTGTATTAATTTTTCCTCAGCTTCTTCCTTTTGGCTCGACATCCTGTTGTAGATTTCCCTCACCTTCAGGGAGAAATTCAGTCACTAGGTTGCCTACATGTTGTGGTGATCTAATCCTTTATCCTTGAGGGATAATTCCTTTATTTTCTCATACTCATCAGACTATTTGCCTCAATTTTCTTCACAGTGTTAACACCAGACATAAAGCCCAAATATACATTCTAGTAAATTCCCATAGTTCTGCATATAGTCTTTCTCAGCTCCATGATATGGTAGCAACCCCAGCTTCTCATGCAGTGTTAATAATCCCGTCTTAGTTCAGGCTGCTATCCCTGAACAAATACCATTGACTGGGTGGCTTAAACAACAAATATTTATTTTTTACAGTTCTGGAGGCTGAGAAGTCCATGATCCCAAAGTACCAACCAATTTGTTTCCTGGTGAAGGCCCTCTCACTGGTTTTTAGATGACCGGCTGCTTGCTGTATTCTCACGTGGCAGAGAGAGAAAGAAAGAGAGGGAAAGAGATAGATTGTCTTTCTTGTTGTCTTTTTATAAGGGCACTACTCCCACCATGAGGGCTCCACTCTTATGAACTACTTACCTCTCAAAGGCCTCAGCTCCAAATTGCACAAGGGACTGTGGCTTCAACATATGAATTTTGGCAAACATTCAGTGCATAGCAAACCTAAACTTTTCGTTGCCTGTTGTCCAGCCCACCTGCATGTGGTGCCCAAAGTGACCAAGTGGAATTGTAACTTACAGTTCAATCGAATTCTCATTGTGACTCTTGGTGGAAATATTCCTTGCTGGAAAACAGTGCTTTTAATCCAGCAAAGCTTAACATTCTGAGGCCAGAAAGTATAAATTTTGTAATTGGCTGCTTGGAGTAATAAAGAGGCCAATCATACATCTCACTTTTGGTGTCCAGTCTGATGTATTCGATGTCTTGTGATTGCTTTAGTGCATAGCATAGCATCCTTCAGAAGAACTGCCCACCCTCTTAGTGTGTCTTTCTCAAGCTGGTGCCTTAGGTGAGCCTTTAATAATGTATTAAAATTTATCGGGGTCTGGCAGCCAAGATGGCCGAATAGGAACAGCTCTGGTCTACAGCTCCCAGCGTGAGCAACACAGAAGACGGGTGATTTCTGCATTTCCATCCGAGGTACTGGGTTCATCTCACTAGGGAGTGCCAGACAGTGGGCACAGGACAGTGGGTGCAGCGCACCGTGTGCGAGCCGAAGCAGGGCGAGGCATTGCCTCACTCGGGAAGTGCAAGGGGTCAGGGAGTTCCCTTTCCTAGTCAAAGAAAGGGGTGACAGATGGCACCTGGAAAATCAGCTCACTCCCACCATAATACTGCACTTTTCCGACCGGCTTAAAAAACAGCACACCAGGAGATTATATTCCGCACCTGGCTCGAAGGGTCCTACGCCCAAGGAGTCTCGCTGATTACTAGCACAGCAGTCTGAGATCAAACTGCAAGGTGGCAGCGAGGCTGGGGGAGGGGCGCCTGCCATTCCCCAGGCTTGCTTAGGTAAACAAAGCAGCTGGGAAGCTCGAACTGGGTGGAGCCCACCACAGCTCAAGGAGGCCTGCCTGCCTGCCTCTGTAGGCTCCACCTCTGGGGGCAGGGCACAGACAAACAAAAAGACAGCAGTAACCTCTGCAGACTTAAATGTCCCTGTCTGACAGCTTTGAAGAGAGCGGTGGTTCTCCCAGCACACAGGTGGAGATCTGAGAATGGGCAGACTGCCTCTTCAAGTGGGTCGCTGACCTGTGACCCCCGAGCAGCCTAACTAGGAGGCACCCCCTAGTAGGGGCAGACTGACACCTCACATGGCCGGGTACTCCTCTGAGACAAAACTTCCAGAGGAACGATCAGACAGCAGCATTCGCGGTTCACGAAAATCCGCTGTTCTGCAGCCACTGCTGCTGGTACCCAGGCAAACAGGGTCTGGAGTGGACCTCTAGCAAACTCCAACAGACCTGCAGCTGAGGGTCCTGTCTGTTAGAAGGAAAACTAACAAACAGAAAGGACATCCTCACCAAAAACCCATCTGTACATCACCATCATCAAAGGCCGAAAGTAGATAAAACCACAAAGATGGGAAAAAAACAGAGCAGAAAAACTGGAAACTCTAAAAAGCAGAGCGCCTCTCCTCCTCCAAAGGAACGCAGTTCCTCACCGGCAACGGAACACAGCTGGATGGAGAATGGCTTTGACGAGTTGAGAGAAGAAGGCTTCAGACGATCAAACTACTCCGAGCTACAGGAGGAAATTCAAACCAAAGGCAAAGAAGTTAAAAACATTGAAAAAAATTTAGATGAATGTATAACTAGAATACCCAATACAGAGAAGTGCTTAAAGAAGCTGATGGAGCTGAAAACCAAGGCTCGAGAACTACGTGAAGAATGCATAAGCCTCAGGAGCCGATGCGACCAACTGGAAGAAAGCGTATCAGTGATGGAAGATGAAATGCATGAAATGAAGCGAGAAGGGAAGTTTAGAGAAAAAAGAATAAAAAGAAATGAACAAAGCCTCCAAGAAATATGGGACTATGTGAAAAGACCAAATCTACGTCTGATTGGTGTACCTGAAGGTGATGGGGAGAATGGAACCAAGTTGCAAAACACTCTGCAGGATATTATCCAGGAGAACTTCCCCAATCTAGCAAGGCAGGCCAACATTCAGATTCAGGAAATACAGAGAACGCCACAAAGATACTCCTCGAGAAGACCAACTCCAAGACACATAATTGTCAGATTCACCAAAGTTGAAATGAAGGAAAAAATGTTAAGGGCAGCCAGAGAGAAAGGTCAGGTTACCCTCAAAGGGAAGCCCATCAGACTAACAGCGGATCTCTCGGCAGAAACCCTACAAGCCAGAAGAGAGTGGGGGCCAATATTCAACATTCTTAAAGAAAAGAATTTTCAACCCAGAATTTCATATCCAGCCAAACTAAGCTTCATAAGTGAAGGAGAAATAAAATACTTTACAGACAAGCAAATGCTGAGAGATTCTGTCACCAGCAGGCCTGCCCTAAAAGAGCTCCTGAAGGAAGCACTAAACATGGAAAGGAACAACCGGTACCAGCCACTGCAAAATCATGCCAAATGGTAAAGACAATCGAGGCTAGGAAGAAATTGCATCAGCTAACGAGCAAAATAACCAGCTAACATCATAATGACAGGATCAAATTCACACATAACAACATTAACTTTAAATGTAAATGGACTAAATGCTCCAATTAAAAGACACAGACTGGCAAATTGGATAAAGAGTCAAGACCTATCAGTGTGCTGTATTCAGGAAACCCATCTCACGTGCAGAGACACACATTGGCTCAAAATAAAAGGATGGAGGAAGATCTACCAAGCAAATGGAAAACAAAAAAAGGCACGGGTTGCAAGCCTAGTCTCTGATAAAACAGATTTTAAACCAACAAAGATCAAAAGAGACAATGAAGGCCATTACATAATGGTAAAGGGATCAATTAAACAAGAAGAGCTAACTATCCTAAATATATATGCACCCAATACAGGAGCACCCAGATTCATAAAGCAAGTCCTGAGTGACCTACAAAGAGACTTAGACTCCCACACAATAATAATGGGAGACTTTAACACCCTACTGTCAACGTTAGACAGATCAATGAGACAGAAAGTTAACAAGGATACCCAGGAATTGAACTCAGCTCTGCACCAAGCGGACCTAATAGACATCTACAGAACTCTCCACCCCAAATCAACAGAATATACATTTTTTTCAGCACCACACCACACCTATTCCAAAATTGACCACATAGTTGGAAGTAAAGCTCTCCTCAGCAAATGTAAAAGAACAGAAATTATAACAAACTATCTCTCAGACCACAGTGCAATCAAACTAGAACTCAAGATTAAGAAGCTCACTCAAAACTTCTCAACTACATGGAAACTGAACAACCTGCTCCTGAATGACTACTGGGTACATAACAAAATGAAGGCAGAAATAAAGATGTTCTTTGAAACCAACGAGAACAAAGACACAACTTACCAGAATCTCTGGGACACATTCAAAGCAGTGTGTAGAGGGAAATTTATAGCACTAAATGCCTACAAGAGAAAGCAGGAAAGATCCAAAATTGACACCCTAACATCACAATTAAAAGAACTAGAAAAGCAAGAGCAAACACATTCAAAAGCTAGCAGAAGGCAAGAAATAACTAAAATCAGAGCAGAACTGAAGGAAATAGAGACACAAAAAACCCTTCAAAAAATTAATGAATCCAGGAGCTGGTTTTTTGAAAGGATCAACAAAATTGATAGACCGCTAGCAAGACTAATAAAGAAAAAAAGAGAGAAGAATCAAATAGACGCAATAAAAAATGACAAAGGGGATATCACCACCGATCCCACAGAAATACAAACTACCATCAGAGAATACTACAAACACCTCTACACAAATAAACTAGAAAATCTAGAAGAAATGGATAAATTCCTCGACACATACACCCTCCCAAGACTAAACCAGGAAGAAGTGGAATCTCTGAATAGACCAATAACAGGATCTGAAATTGTGGCAATAATCCATAGCTTACCAACCAAAAAGAGTCCAGGACCAGATGGATTCACAGCCCAATTCTACCAGAGGTACAAGGAGGAACTGGTACCATTCCTTCTGAAACTATTCCAATGAATAGAAAAAGAGAGAATCCTCCCTAACTCATTTTATGAGGCCACCATCATCCTGATACCAAAGCCGGGCAGAGACAGCTCCAAAAAAGAGAATTTTAGACCAATATCCTTGATGAACATTGATGCAAAAATCCTCAATAAAATACTGGCAAAGTGAATCCAGCAACACCTCAAAAAGCTTATCCACCATGATCAAGTGGGCTTCATCCCTGGGATGCAAGGCTGGTTCAATATACGCAAACCAATAAATGTAATCCAGCATATAAACAGAACCAAAGACAAAAACCACATGATTATCTCAATAGATGCAGAAAAGGCCTTTGACAAAATTCAACAACCCTTCATGCTAAAAACTCTAATAAATTAGGTATTGATGGGACATATCTCAAAATAATAAGAGCTATCTATGACAAACCACAGCCAATATCATACTGAATCGGCAAAAACTGGAAGCATTCCCTTTGAAAACTGGCACAAGACAGGGATGCCCTCTCTCACCGCTCCTATTCAACATAGTGTTGGAAGTTCTGGCCAGGACAATTAGGCAGGAGAAGGAAATAAAGGGTATTCAATTAGGAGAAGAGGAAGTCAAATTGTCCCTGTTTGCAGACAACATGATTGTATATCTAGAAAACCCCATTGTCTCAGGCCAAAATTTCCTTAAGCTGATAAGCAACTTCAGCAAAGTCTCAGGATACAAAATCAATGTACAAAAATCACAAGCATTCTTATACACCAACAACAGACAAACAGAGAGCCAAATCATGAGTGAACTCCCATTCACAATTGCTTCAAAGAGAATAAAATACCTAGGAATCCAACTTACAAGGGATGTGAAGGACCTCTTCAAGGACAACTACAAACCACTGCTCAAGGAAATAAAAGAGGATACAAAGAAATGGAAGAACATTCCATGCTCATGGGTAGGAAGAATCAATATCGTGAAAATGGGCATACTGCCCAAGGTAATTTATAGATTCAATGCCATCCCCATCAAGCTACCAATGACTTTCTTCACAGAATTGGAAGAAACTACTTTAAAGTTCATATGGAACCAAAAAAGAGCCTGCATCGCCAAGTCAATCCTAAGCCAAAAGAACAAAGCTGGAGGCATCACACTACCTGACTTCAAACTATACTACAAGGCTACAGTAACCAAAACAGCATGGTACTGGTACCAAAACAGAGATATAGATCAATGGAACAGAACAGAGCCCTCAGAAATAACGCCGCATATCTACAACTATCTGATCTTTGACAAACCTGAGAAAAACAAGCAATGGGGAAAGGATTCCCTATTTAATAAATGGTGCTGGGAAAACTGGCTAGCCATATGTAGAAAGCTGAAACTGGATCCCTTCCTTACACCTTATACAAAAATTAATTCAAGATGGATTAAAGACTTAAACGTTAGACCTAAAACCATAAAAACCCTAGAAGAAAACCTAGGCATTACCTACCATTTAGGACATAGCATGGGCAAGGACTTCACGTCTAAAACACCAAAAGCAATGGCAACAAAAGACAAAATTGACAAATAGGATCTAATTAAGCTAAAGAGCTTCTGCACAGCAAAAGAAACTACCATCAGAGTGAACAAGCAATCTACAAAATGGGAGAAAATTTTCGCAACCTACTCATCTGACAAAGGGCTAATATCCGGAATCTACAATGAACTCAAACAAATTTACAAGAAAAAAACAAACAACCCCATCAAAAAGTGGGCGAAGGACATGAACAGACACTGCTCAAAAGAAGACGTTTATGCAGCCAAAAAACACATGAAAAAATGCTTACTATCACTGGCCATCAGAGAAATGCAAATCAAAACTACAATGAGATACCATGTCACACCAGTTAGAATGGCAATCATTAAAAAGTCAGGAAACAACAGGTGCTGGAGAGGATGTGGAGAAATAGGAACACTTTTACACTGTTGGTGGGACTGTAAACTAGTTCAACCATTGTGGAAGTCAGTGTGGCGATTCCTCAGGGATCTAGAACTAGAAATGTCATTTGACCCAGCCATCCCATTACTGGGTATATACCCAAAGGACTATAAATCATGCTGCTATAAAGACACATGCACACGTATGTTTATTGCAGCACTATTCACAATAGCAAAGACTTGGAACCAACCCGAATGTCCAACAATGATAGACTGGATTAAGAAAATGTGGCACATATATACCATGGAATACTATGCAGCTATCAAAAATGATGAGTTCATGTCCTTTGTAGGGACATGGATGAAATTGGAAATCATCATTCTCAGTAAACTATCGCAAGGACAAAAAACCAAACACCGCAGGTTCTCACATATAGGTGGGAATTGAACAATGAGAACACATGGACACAGGAAGGGGAACATCACACTCTGGGGACTCTTGTGGGGTGGGGGGAAGGGGGAGGGATAGCATTAGGAGATATACCTAATGCTAAATGACGAGTTAATGGGTGCAGCACACCAGCATGGCACACGTATACATATGTAACTAACCTGCACATTGTGCACATGTACCCTAAAACTTAAAGTATAATAACAATAAAATAAAAAATAAAAACAATAAAATAAAATAAAATAAAATTTATCGAGACATCTGCTTTGAGGTGATAAAGTATATGGCAGGAAGAGTTAATACTCTGGTCATGAGTCCATCGTCATATTTCACTTGCTTTAAAGTGGGTCTCTTGTTCCAAAGCAATATTATATAGGATCCATGCCACTAAATCATGATAATCTTAATAACTTGTAAGCCCTCAGATAGTAAAGCTAGCAGAGTATAGTAGAGACGCATGCTAAACCCATATTGGAAATAGTTGTCATTTTTAGTAAGGAAGAATCACTGCTTCTTCAGGGTTGAAAGATTCCAACTGGATCAATGTGCCACCAAGTGGCTGTTTGATCTTCTTTAGGGATAGTCCCATATTGAGCACTGAGATTCTGTCACTGCTGCTGACTGGCTATCAGCAGTGGCTAGATCAGCTTTCACTAGAGAGCCCATACAGAGCTTTTATCTCAGCCACCAGGACTGTTCCTTTTATAGCCCCATTGTACCAGGCCTGGAGTGGCCTACCACAGAAGCTGGCTGATAGCCACTGGATGAGTCATTTATCCACCGGCTTCTTTAATCCCTCATACACAGTTGAAGATCTCTGTTGGGTACTGAGGTAAGACTCAAAGATCTGCACACTTTTGGCCATTCCTTTAGATCCACTGACATGCCTCTTCTCTAGATCTCCTTTTATTCTGTCTTCTGGAATTGCTTATTTCAGCCTTCTAACCCAACCAGGAAGTGTCAAATAGGAAGCTTCTACAAATAGACAAAATGAATAGGGCTCACTTAAAAATAAGTAAAAAGAGCATGTTATAGGAGGAAGGAAAGATCCTATATCTGAAAAAATCAAGATTGCTTTATGAAATAAGTTGATTTGCAGTTTGAAGGATAAAACAACAAAACTACTGTTTTACGAGCATACAGACATTTGAGACTAGTACTCTAGATGAAGAGAACACACAAGCAAAGAGGGCAGTATCAGGGTGGGTGGTCAGTGAATACTAAGTAGTTCTATCTGGGCTGGATCCAAGATGAGACAATTCTTTTTCAGAATGAGCGGTGTAGGAAATAAATGCTGTCATAATTTGAAGAAAAAATTATTTCATAAATTCTCTTAGGTCCTAATGGAGTCACCTCATGATCCACAGTGGTAGTATCATCCATTAAGAAAAAAGTGCCCAACCATGAGTTTCTAAAGCCACATGGCACTGATGCCAAACTCAGATGTCTGTGTGCCACAGCCATTAGGGAGTGTCCACATTTTGAGTTACATAATCTTAAGGAAAGAAAGAATAAACTGTGGTTAATGTCAAGGTCTTGCCAAGGAGAACACAGAAATAATAAGAATAAAAAATGCTGCAAGGTACAACCATGATTTTCTCTAATTATTCACTCTTGAAACTTGAGATTTTTCTCAAAGCAAAACAGAACTGCTCTTTTTAATTTATTTTTTTTCCCACGAGCTGGGCCAAGGTTTCAATTTTAAAGTGCAGGTAGACTTTCAAGTTATAGCATGGCAGGTCTCCCTGTTACCAACAACAAAACTTCTTTCATCAGTTCAAATGCATATGTTTTCAAAGGGAATAAAGGAACTGATCATCTATAGAAACCAGCCATACCCGTGAGCTCACGCCAGCTATAGTCAGTCTGTAAACATGCCTGGAGGAAAATGCTGTCTCTTAAAGGGCAAACACCCTGTCCTTTTTTTGATACTTGATATGTTGCAGGCACCAGCTCCAAGTTGTGGATGAGAACCAGGGTCACAAACCTTTATTATCTTTACATTTTTCTTTTAAAATATATTATTAATACTATCATTATTTGAGGTGACTGGAGGAAGGGAAGGAGATAGCACACAGAAGGAACAAACAGACTTTTCCCTTCTAATTAGAGCTGGTGCTGCTATTGTCAGACTCATTTCTGGATTTGGGCCAGTGAACAAACTTTTCTCTCAATACTCTGCATGTACCACATGGCACTGGCCTCTATCCCAGAACCAAGCACAGGTTCATCATGAAGCCAACTGGGTCCTGGCCCAATGGATAACAAAGTCTCCTCATTAAAATTGTTCCATTAGGTACATTTCTATCTAATAAAGTGAGCATAGTGCACATTCAGAAGCATAGTCTGGTACACTGCATTATCGGGGTCGGTTTAAGCACTCCTACTCCACTGTCCATCTCTTCCTTGTTATCCTGTATTAATGTTGTCCTTTGGGACAATATGAAAGACTCCTCTGAAAACTGCCTTTTGATATTTCCAGGGATAAACAATGAAAATGTTCTGATGAAATGGAATGGTTGCATTAGTGTATCAATCAGCCTACAGGTGACCATGTTGTTCATCCTCTTGCAGCCTCTCGGCTTATTGGACTGAAGGCGGACCATGGTATGAATGGAGGCTACAAGCAGCAGTTGACAAGTGTTTCAATACAGATTAGCCTAATTTTAAAGGAATACAACACACAAAATATGTAAGTTGATTAATCCAGGCATCAGTGTTTGCTAAATTTAATTTAAAGCAGGATCCTTTAGTGTTAGTTTTATAAGAACTCTATAGTATTTCACTTAAATAACAAGGAAAATTACATTTATACTCAATTATTCTTGTAGATAAACACATGTTTATGTCAAGTAGAAATCCATCCACACATTCATGGAAGATAAAAGCAAACTCTATTTAACACACAACAGTTTTTACTGATTTTATTCTGACTTTTGTTTGTATGTCTAGCTTTCCTCTAGATTATAAGCAATTCGAGGATATGATTTTTATCTTAACTAATTTATTGTTTTATCCCAGCACTTAGCTCAATGTTTGGCCAAAACAATAATAGTAATAATAGTAATTCATTTTAGCTTAATACTTGTTTGATATTTGCTATGTGCCAGGTAATATTTTAAGTGTGTTTTGCATACATTATTCCATGTGATAATCACAAAAGATGAGTAAACTGAGGCAAAATGACGAAAAGATAAGTTTGTTTCCCAAAATCATACAGCTAGTCTGATGGAGACAAAGTTGAAACCCTGGTATTTTGACTGGAGAATCCATGTTCTTGCCACCTTAGTTATAATAAATTTTGCCTTTGATTGGGTTCCCATGGAAGGAGGGCTTGAGGAAAATATTTAAGTGTAGTTTATTTGGGAAGTGATCTAAGAAGCATCGATAAGAGAATTGAAGAATGAGAGAGAGAAGGGAAGGACACCAATGACAGGATGCATTAATGAGCAGGTTACTGCTGGGCTGGGGCTCACCCTGCTGGGGCCCATTGGGAGATGGGATAGGATCAGAATCACACCACCCGATTAGCAAGGAAGCTGACCCACCAGTTCCTACCTCTTTAGGGTTGTTCCTGGGGTGTCCACCCTCATACGTGTCTAGCCTAAATGGCTAGCACAATGGGAACTGAGCACAATCTCATGGAAGGCTTTAGCAAAGGAAGGTTTTAGCAAAGAGTCATGCCACCAGCTGCTGGTGGAAGAGTCAATGCCAAGGAGTCCTATGTGGGATAAAGATGGCAATGGCACTGTTGTTTCAACATGAAAACACATTTTTGGAGAGAAAGCATGGATAGAGATAAGATGTATTCATCAGTTCTGGTCCATTTGATGACCAGTTTAAAAAAATTGTGCAAGTTCTTAGTGGGGTTCCCCAGTTGCTCCTAGATAGGCATGCTGGTTTCATGGTCCTAGACCTGTTATGAGAAGATGAAGTTTTTTTAGTGACATTTCAAAGCTGTTCAGACAATTACTACACGGACATTTTCCCTTGCCAGACAGAGTGGGCCCAGCCTTCCCTGGCACCAGTTAAGTAAAGGAAAAAAAAAAAAAGGAAAAATTTAGAGTTTCTTGTACTGCTTCATTGCTTTACTTAATTGACTTGTTTGAGTGTGTGCCAGAACTTGATATATCTTGTTAGTGTGGCAAAGTTTAAAAATCGACTTATATTTCAATTCCACGCAGCTTTCAACACAGAGAGGTTTATAGTTGTTGCTGATGTGGGGGGTGGTAACAACGTGCTGGGAGGGAGCATGTGTGTTTAGGAAAGGAAACAAATTAGCAGCTTCATGTGCTGAAGTCTTTAATAATACGGTAATCTAGGGCCAACTTATTATAAATTCTGAATAAGCGTTGTCTGCTGTTTAAAATTTCCCATGGCTTACTGTCAAATATATTAAAATGGATTTGGAAAGTCTGTAAGCCTTCTAATCATGGATAAAATATATTCTTTTACAGGACTCTAAATTTGTGGTAATTATGTACCATTTAGTTAATCTCCCTATATTATTTACCAAGCATATTTTGTAGTCAAATACTTGAAGAGTTGACAGGGTAATGTTCAACGCAACTATGAGCAAAAATGGAAGAGCAAGAGGGGTTAGGAAATAAGCACCTGAATGTAAAACTGATTTGTTTTCATGTTAGTTATTTATGGATGCAATCAGTGAGATAGTTAATGGAATCACCTATGTTCTATTGAACATCCAGGCTTGGGTGCATGGGAACACATGTTTAAAGGAATAGAATTCTACAAATACAATAACCCCTAAAACAAAAAATAAAACTGATTTAATGAGACTAGGCATTAAGAACCCAATTGTAGTGCCCATGCATATCATACGTACTGGCAAATAGCTGAGGCGTGTGAGATCAGGAAAGCTGCCTAGATATTCTGGAGCCCCAGAATAATTAGTCACAATAAATAGCTTTCCTGAAGCTGCTCAGAATTGGCAGGGATTTATTTTCCCAAATAGTAGACAGAGATACAGAATGATGTTGTATTGTGCATTTGGCCACCTAAATATTTTCAGATCCTTCTTACTCAGACATGGTAGCTGAAAATGCACTGATGTTTATACACTATCCTGCTCATGAACACCATGGTGGGGACCCTCAGAATGGTTCTGTAGTTTTACAGTCACCCCAAGAAACAGCAGAGTGACCCCAAGACTTTGCCATTTACAACATTATCTTTACGGTGGTGAGAACACTTAACGTGAGATCTACCCTCATAACAGATGTTTAAGTATACAATACAATATTGTTAAGTATAGGCACAATGTTGTACACCAGATCTCTAGAACTCGCTTCTCTTGTGTTACTGAAACTTTGTAACTGTTGACTTGCAAATCCCCATTGCCCCCTTTCCCCTTCTCCTGGCAGCCAACATTCCACTCTCTGCTTCTAGGTATTTGGCTATTTTAGATACCTCATGTAAGAAGGATCATTGTATTTGTCTTTCTCTGACTGGCTTATTTCACTTAGCATAATTCCCCCAGGTTCATCCATGTTGTCACATATTGCAGGATTTCTTTCTTTGTTAGGGTGGCTATTACTAAAAAAACAAAAACAAAAAAACAAAACAAAAGGCAACAGGTGTTGGTGAGCATGTTACAAAACCAGAACCCTTATATACTGCTGGTAAAAATGCAAAATTGTGCAGCCATTATGGAAAACGGTATGGAGGTTCCTCAGAAAATTAAAAATAAAACTATAATGTGGGGTCCAGCAATCCCACTTCTGGGTATTTACCCAGAGGAAGTGAAATCAGGATCTTGAAGAGATATAGCACTTCAGTGTTCATCACAGTACTATTCATAATGGCCAAGAAACAATCTAGATGTCCATTGAACGATGAATGGATAAAGACACTGTGATATATACATACAAAGGCTCTTCCATTTTTAACTTAGCTGTGGAACACGTAAGAAGATTCAGTTCGAAAGAGGCAATGCCTGGGCTCTTGCATATAAAAATCCACTTTTTGTTTTGTTTGTGACATGAGTCTTGAATGTAAACCTTGGACAAACACAACTCTAACCACGCACACTCAGTAGGAAATGTTGATATTAAGATGAAAACATAGCAACAATACAATATATAAGGGATTACTTTAATTAGACACTCCAGCACTAGATACGGTTCTTTTGCACTTTGCATTTTATAAAGCAAATAACAAACCCAAACATAGGAAAAGAAACAGAATTCTTTTTCCTATATTTTTAAGCTAATAAGCCAAAATAATTAATGAGCATTAGCACGTTTGTCATTCCCAGTGGGACTTTTTGTGCCTAATGCCAACCTCATTTGCCTACATAATGATTCCTATATTCCACTCATTGCCTTGGAGAAAGCCTGACAGAAACTGCATAGAAATTGCTAACTTTCCATCTTTTTAGGGCAGTTCATTATGAGTGTTTAGGCTTCTGTTATCATATGGGCTCACCACAATCCTGGTAGTTTCTTATTTATTTTGAAATAGGCTAATGATATTAAGAACTGTGAAAGTTACTCTAGAAACTTTCATTTTCTTCTTGGCTCCAATGTGAGGTTTCCACATGATTATACTGCCTGTGATAGTGTATTTTTGTAAATAGAAAAAAATAGCAACATTCACTGGAATTGACTGGAAGCTCTTGGAGGACATAATCTTAATCAACTTTGCTTATTCCTCAAGCACCCAACATAAGGTTTTGTTAGAGCATGTAAGAAATGAATGTTTGTTGAAAATGAGTAGAACTGCATGCACAGACAGGTGACCTGTCTTTGTTTTGGCTCTTAAATGTCCTAAGCTCCAAAGCAACCATGAAAGGTCAGCAAACTAGTGTGCTTGAGCAGCTGACTTTAGCTATCGTAAAATCCATTTGCATTTCTGTGAAGATACACTTAGAATATAAACCCCCTAATTTTGAGCCAGTAAACAAAACAGTAAAAGAGATTTACTGAGCAGGTGGAGAAGATAAACACAAGTTTAGCTGAAAACTCTAACATACAATGCATTCAAGGCTGGAGTGGAGAGGAGGACAAATATACCTGCTCTAGGGGTAGAAGGTTAGGAGGAAATGCCAATATCATCCATCATTTTGAATCTAGAGGCTTCTTGGCTTCAGAGTTGTCAAAATACATCTCTTTTTTTGGTGAATCAATACAATGAAGTATGCAGGAAAATGGCAATTACACCTATTATACAGATGGCAAAACTAGAAGATATAATTGTAGTTTTTATAGAGTTATTCAGATTGTGATGGTGATGAAATAAAAACCTACCCCCCTACTAGCTCTGAATTCAAGGCTTTTCCTCTTTAACCACATTTACACTGACTTTCTTGTTCTCCCCACTTCCACTCTCCTTCCACGCATAACTAAGTTATGCGTGTTGGTTCTTCAGGTATATTTAAAATATGCAACCACCTGTGAACTCATTCACAGATAAAGTGAGCATATCTTGCAAAGGAAATACACAGCGAATCTAAAAATGTACATGCCATTTTAT